>NC_000012.12:41551037-41702552 GCF_000001405.40 Homo sapiens
TGTACATTTGGGCTGCTATAACAAAATACCATGAACAGGGTGGCTTCTAAACAACAGAAACAAGTTTATCACAGTTCTAGAGTTTAGGAAGTAGAAGATCAAGGCACCAGGAGTTTTAGTGTCTGGTGAGGGCCTGTTCCTCATAGAGGTCACCTTCTCACTGTGTCTGTCCTTACATGGTGGAAGAGGCAAGATAGCTCTCTGGGGCCTCTTCCTAAGGGCACTAATCTTTTTCATGAGGGCTCAGCAGTTCTTACGACCTACCAAAGTTGATTACCTTTGGTAATCACCTACCAAAGTCCCCACCTCCTTGGTAGGTAAAATATGTTGAAACCCTAATACAAATTGTAGGGAACACAAACATTTAGACCTTAGCACTCTATTCTTATCAACTTTCATAATCTTTACACACACACACACCTCACCTCTATTTCCAATCAAAGAGGAAAGACTACCTACCTATGGTTTTACAAAAATCTCTGTGCATCTGGAAAGATTTTTGAAATAAAATTAGTCACCCTTCAGCTAGTTGTTACTGAGTGCCCACACTGAAATATCCTGTTGTAGGCACTGGAGAAAGAGCATTAAGCAAGACAGATAAATTCAGAGCTCCCACAGAGCCTGAGTGCTAGAAATTGATCCAGACTTCACTTCTAATTTAAATAGACATTGTTCTTCTTCATCCAATTATTTACTAATGGGTCTTATATTCTACATCCAATAGGAATAAATTCTCCATAATTAGTGTGCTAATTTGTGTTTTAATCCTTGGAAATATGTAATTTATCCTGAAGTCATCGGCTTCTGAAAGTAGTACAAGTCCATTTCATTATATAAAACTGAAATACACTGAAATTTATTATTATTTTACTGAACATAAATCAGGAAATGAATTTAATATACATTACCTGAGGACTGACATTTCAAGCCCTTAGCCATGTGTTTCAGTAAATGTATTTTCCTGTTCATTTACTGCTTCATTTTGAATCATTGCCTCTGCCCCAAATGGCTTTTGATGTCTCTCCCTTCAGCCTGGATGAAACCATTTCTTTCCAAGAATGAGAGTTTCTACAAAATAATAGAAAACCTTGGCCTGACCTATACAAAACACTTGCTTATTATCATATTGTGTAGAACTTCAGAGCAGAATTGATGGAAACAGCTTGGTATAGTCTTTTTTTTATTATTTGAAGTTATGTTGTTTTCTTACAATACAAATAAAAACATGTAATAGTAACTCCTCATGTTTTTATGAACATTTTGCCACTAACTTTGACATTCTCAATTATTTTATTGATTCCAGTGTATTCATGTATACATGTATTTGATTTATACATTATTGTGTAATTTTTAAGGAGTTTTGCATTGACAGCTTGATGCAAACAACTGTGTATCTCCAAACTTACAACAAAAATATAAAACACTGGCTTCCCTACATAGAAATCCATGCTGAAAGAACATTTGAATAATATTGGTAAAAAAAAAAAAGTTAATTTCCAATGTTGGGCAATAATTATTAATACTTGCCAGAGTAACCCAAAGAATATCAGTGAGTTCTCCATTCTGTTGCAGATTTTCTCTCTGACATAAATGTCATCTGTGTGTGTTGTTCTTTCAGGAGGTCGAGTTGTGTCGTGTTAGCAGTCAAGAGAAGCTGGGCCTGACAGTCTGTTACCGAACAGATGATGAAGAAGACACCGGCATTTATGTCAGCGAGGTAAGAAACGCCATGGAGGGGAAATTCGAGGAGGGAGACTAGGAAGAACAGAGCGAAATGACTCACAATGAGAAAACCCTTCCTTCAGAGGCTTGAATGTGAAGAATTGGAGTTGGCCATGTTCCAAAACGTGTCACCTTCAATTAGGAAAGTAAATTATTCTGCCCAAGTAATGTAATTATTATGAGCTTGTTTAATGTGAATACTTTCACCCCAGAATCCCAGCAAGGAAAAGTGCAAAAGTGGTAACATTGTCCAAATTTGAATAAATTCCCATAAGAATGCAGCAAGTCCAGCAAAGTTTTTGATCCTCAAACATCTGTCCTTCCATTCTACTGTGTCTTTTATGAGTTCTATTAACAGTAGCACTGGCTAATTGTTTTAAATTACTACTCACAATAATCACATCTTTTACTCTGCTGATGGCATTGATACAGTTGAATACCCAATGAGTGCATCTGTTAGTTTGTTTTATTCAACCCCGCAAGTGAGATTCCACACTTGATCTTAGGCAAAGGCCAAGAAGCAATGCACAAGTGAGAGTCTAAAATGCGAGATACTGTTAGTGTTCATTCCTTTTAAAGACTGTGAAGCAAATTGTATTACAAGAGATGATTTTTTAAAACTCGCAAAAAGCATTATTTTATGTGAAGTGGGAAGGAATGTTTTTAAAAATTAAGGCTGGGCACAGTGGCTTATGCCTATAAACCCTGCACTTTGAGAAGCCGAGACAGGAAGATTGCCTATGGCCAGGAGTTTGACTCTGTCTCTACAAAAAAAAAAAAAATATTTAGTCAGTCATGGTGGCATATGCCGGTAGTCCTAACTACTCAGGAGGCTTTGGCAATAGGATAGCTTGAGCACAGTAATTCGATGTTACGGTGAGCTATGATTGTGCCACTGCACTCCAGTGCAGTGACACAATGAGTGACAGAATGAGACCCTGTCTCTAAATATAAATAAATTAAAATTAAATATGCTTATGATAAAAAATTACATACTTATATGTGAAAAACATATGTGTACATATGTTTATATATAAATGCAGAAGTTAGACAAACTAGATACTAATTGCTGCTCTATGCTGTTCTGAGTTTTCTTGGCCATAATCTTGAAAACGTTACCTAAATATACTGAGCTTCAGCTTTCTCAACTACAAGGTGAGTACAACAGTGCTTATCTTATTGTTTTGATAGACCTGCTTAGAATGTGGAAGAGATAATGTAATTAATGCATTTAGAAAACAACACAACTCTGTAAGTGTAAAATATTACTCTTTATCCCTCTGCCAAAAAATTTACTGACCGGCTTCTGCGATGGAAAAATCTCCAGATAATATTCAACTTATGTACTTCTTTTAAATATGCAATTAGGATAATTCCTCTGATTAGGGTGAGGAAGTATAAGGAAACACCTGTGGCATTATCTCTTGTAATATGTACAGAGATAGGAAGGTAGAAGTTTAATATTAGTTTGATTACAGTTCTAAAGATGAGGCTTTAGATTGTGAGTGGTTTTTAAATGGGATACAGTTCATGAATCACCCTTCACTTCCTTCTAGTAAGTCTCTATTTACTATTTAAATATGTCAGAATTGGAGCTGCACTTTTCAGGGAAGGGAAAGAAGCCACAGGATCTGAACATATGTACTTGGAAGGAATGTTTTCCTTTTACCTCTTACATGTAATTATAGTGTCACTTATTCTTGATTGATGATTTAAGACTCAATTATTAGGTGGCACCCATAATAAGAAAGTAATATCTAACATATGGATAGGATGGATCAACCTTATGCTACACTTGAAACAGTTTGCTTAAAAAAAAAAAGCTTTGATGCAACAAGCCTAAATAAAGTTTGAAGCCATCACATGAAATCTGATAGATGAAATTACCCGCAGTGAACTGTAAGTCATCACTCAAGTTTAGCCCATTAAAATGCTGATAAGCTCCTAATACAGCCTTAAATATCTATACATTCTAAAATAGTTTATAGTTAATATACTTTACCCCACATGTAAAGTAGTACTGAGTAATTAAATGCATGGATCAGATGTGCGTGTGTGTGTATGTGTGTGTGTGTGTGTGTTTCTTGAGCAATATAGGTTGTAAATGTCTTTATATATAAATTAATGTGCCCATGAGACATAATTCTCTTTAATAAGTATGGTCTTGGGCCGGACGCGGTGGCTCACGCCTGTAATCCTAGCACTTTGGGAGGCCAAGGCGGGCGGATCACAAGGTCAGGAGATCAAGACCATCCGGGCTAACACGGTGAAACCCCATCTCTACTAAAAATACAAAAAAAAAAAAAAAAAAAAAAAAAAAAATTAGCCAGGCGTGGTGGCAGGCATCTGTAGTCACAGCTACTCGGGAGTCTGAGGCAGGAGAATGGCATGAACCCGAGAGGCGGAGCTTGCAGTGAGCGGAGATGGCGCCACTGCACTCCAGCCTGAGCGACAGAGCCAGACTCTGTCTCAAAAAAAAAAAAAAAAAAAGAAAAAAAAAAGGACGGACTTACACTACAGCTATCAGCTTTGCTAAGACAAAAAGTAAATTTCCTGGGTCCAGAGAGTCCTAGCATTACCATCACCTCATGTCAACTGAAGATCATGTGACAGTTGGGATACAGAAATGAGTGAACAAATGTGAAAAAAAAAAAGAATGAAGGGAAAAAGGAAAGAAGAAATAGAGAAAGGGTGGAAAACTGGTCTTCAGATTAAGTTCTGCTCTAGTCCTCACAATTTTATTCATGTTCATTCTAAAATAGCTCATTTACATTTTTAGAATCAATGAGTTTTGTTGGAGAGAAATATTATGTATACTGTCACAAATCAACAGAGAATTTTGAAACAGCTTTTTCAAAATATATTTTAAAGCCATATTTTTAAGTTCTTGAGGGAATGTTTCATACCCAGTTGAAGATGTATGTCCTCTTCATTACAGGTTGACCCAAATAGCATTGCTGCCAAAGACGGCCGGATTCGAGAAGGGGATCGGATTTTGCAAGTAGGTGGTATAGTAATTTCCTTTAGTTCCCCACGATCTGTCCAAAGTTACTATTTTACTTTGTTTCTTGTAAACTGTTGAGAAAAGAATTTGTCTTTGCTTTTGGATACTAACATCTACAAAACCAAAAAAAAAAAGTGCTGTCATTTAAAACTAATTTAGGATGGTGCGATATATTAAGAGTGATTAGCTAATAATTAGTGGTTCAAATACCATCTCTGGAGTCAAATTTGACTTCTCTTCCAGCTTCACCATTTGCTTGGCACACTGCATAACCTCCTCTCATCCTAAGCTTTATTTCCTCATCTTAAAAAAATGGTAATAATAACCTATTGTTGTTGTGAATGTGAAATGAGATTATGCTTGCCATACGCTTAACACAGTGCATAAGTAGTTAATAAATATTAATGGCTATTATTACTAGCAGCAGCAGTTATTGCTGCCTTTTCCAGAATAAATTAAGTGAACATGGATCTAGATGTTCCTTTGCTATATGAAAGTCTAGAAGTTTGAAGGTGCCAACTACAGTCATGAGTCACTTAATATGTTTTGAGAAATGTCATTAGATGATTTCCGGGTTGTGCAAACATTGGAGAGTGTACTTACACAGACCTAGATGGTACAGCCTACTACACACACACTTAGGCTAGCTGGCGTAGCCTACTCTTCCTAGGTTACAAATCTGTACAGCATGTTACTGCACTAAATACTATAGGTAATTGTGACACAATGGTAAGTCTTTATGTATCTAAACGTAGAAAAGGTATAGTAAAAGCATGGTATTATAATCTTATGGGCCCATTGATGTATCTACAGTCCATTGTTGACTGAAAAGCTGTTGTGTAGTGCACTACTGTATTTACCAATGAGTTGCTGGGAGATGAAGGAGAATATGTTTTATTCCCCACATGGAAATGTGGAAACATAGAGACTGATTACATTTCAGCTTTATGCAAGAGATAGTAAGCAGACTGTAGGAGGGATGTGAGGCTGGAAAGAGTTTTAGGCCAAATCAGGAATAGCTGAAAGCCAGTTTCTATCCTAAACCTGCCTTCACCTGCTTGCTCTCTCCTTTCTGAGTCCTCTCCCATAAAGAATGGCTGCAGGGGCCAGGCCCGGTGGCTCACGCCTGTAATCCCAGCACTTTGGAAGGCCGAGGCAGGCAGATCACCTGAGGTCAAGAGTTTGAGATCAGCCTGGCCAACATGGTGAAACCCTGTCTCTACTAAACAATACAAAAACTAGCCAGGCATGGTGGCAGCCACCTGTAATCCCACCTACTTGGGAGGCTGAGGCAGGAGAATCGCTTGAACCCGGGAGACAGAGGTTGCAGTGAGCCGAGATGCCACCACTGTACTCCAGCCTGGATGACAGAGTGAGACACTCTCAAAAAAAAAAAAAAAAAAAAAAAAAGAATGGCTGCAGGGAGACACACAAACTCCCCAGCTCTTGTGAACAGATCAACTCCAAGATAAGACCAGAGGTGCTTTGGGATGGAATTTCACTGCCAATCACAACTGTGAAACAGAGAGGAGGACTTGAATGATAAATCCAGGGAGCGATAAGCTGTTAAAACGTCACTGCCACTGTTTCAGAGCTACTATTTCTCCTTGTTGGATACAGACCCTTGGAGAGTGTTTTTTTGGATTCCACACTTTTGGAATCCGAAAACCAGGGTTTCAAAAATAGACAAGATGTTGTCCCAGCATTTGGAGCACACCATCTCTGTTTAGGAAGACAGGAACATACACAGATGATTACAGTACAGCATGACACTGTCATGGTAACACTCTGCCTGCGTGGCCTGGGCACATGTCCTGCCCAACTTTCTGCAGTTCTCTCCCTTGTTCAGGACAACACTCATGGAATCACACCATCTCCTCACCGCCTGTTCTTCCTCTAGCTAGATAGTGCAGAGCTCCTTTTTTTTTTTTAACCGTGGACCTTCTGTTAAGGCTCCAAACAGGAAAGAATACAAAGTGTGAATTAATGATCGTTTGGGGTCCCACTAGTTTTCAGAAAACCTCAAGAACATAATTTCTCCTTCAGTGAGCTCCCGAAATAGTGATCTATAGTAAACAAAATGGAACTACGTCTATCATACACAGGGGAATGAAAAGTGGACCAGGAAGCCAAGACATAGTCTTGTTGACCACTGCATTTCTGTCATCTTTAACACATGCACATGAATAAATCAATGAATGAAACCAGGGTATTCAGTGGAGAGAATGATAGGGTAGATGAGTAACATCTGTTGAAAGGCTTTGCTTGTACAGCTTCGTTAAGAAATTAAAGGGACCATTTTCGTGTGTCATCCAGATAACAAAAGCTTCAAAAGTGTTTTACTATTTTTTAAATTTTGAAATAATTTTAAACGTATTGTTCACTTTGTTAACATCTCCAGTAAAATATACTGAAAATAATGTAATCTTTTGATGCTCAGAGTCACGTTACATCCAGCATTCATTCCACAATACTATAATAGAGTAAAATGCTCAGTGATTGGAAAGTCTGGAAGATCTGTGCCCCAACATGAAATGACCTTATTTGGATACACTTGCAGATGCATTAGGTCTATATTGTGTCATTTTTCTTACTCCTCCCTTGCTGTTGCCAGCTGGTACTTCTTCCTCTTGCCATCTACTTCATATCCCATACCTCCTACTGTACCTGGCACCCTTCCTAGTTCCCAGCTAACCCCTCTTCCCTAGGCTAGATACACAAATACAGTTATTAAAATTTCATTCATTTGTTCTGTGGGTATAGTTGGATGGAAATAAAGTGCATGTGTTTCCATACATGCATACTGTATGTTATGACACTTCCAAAATCCTTAGGGATATTGTGGGCAGGTAAGTTTTTAGAGAAAATACCTGCTAGATAATAAAGCATTTCTTAATGGTCTAGATTCACTAAGGAAACAATAGCAGGATGTTAAAGTGCTGTTTTCCGCCTGATTACTTTATATTCTGTGACAAATATGTCACACTTAATACATGTCCCAGTAAAAAAACCTGGAATACAATTCTGTTTGCACACATAGGAAACAAAGAGTCTTAAGGGTGATTATGAAATTATATTAAGTAAAACTCTGACAAAATTGTACCCAGAGACAAATAGCTCCCTTATGGTTGATGAGGAGATTATGGGATACCCTGTAATGAGCAGTTAATGACTCCTTTCCCAGAGAGATGAGAGTGAGAAAAACAGAGGATTTACTTCTTATCCTTAAAGTTTCTTGGATGACTTTTATTTAAATGAGTCCCTTTAGAGCAATTGTGATTTTAATTTTCTGTTCATTTGACCTAAGTAAAGTATGTCAATGGCCCTGCCCTCACTGTGTAGCCAAACTTTTCTTAATGTAGCACACCATGGGCCTGTAGGTGAACTCACCCAATGACATCTCACTCACACACACATACATACACACACACACACACACACACGTGCTGTCACACAAAGGGGATTGTTATAGAGTAGGGATTGTGCAGAAGAGAAACCAGGAACCAACTTCCTGAGAATAGTTGTGGTTCTCCTGTGTTTTTAGTCTGCAAGGAAAGTTCTTCCTTTTCATTCCTTCACAGTTCTGTCTGCTGTGTCATTGCCAGGGACTTATATCAAATGTCTCCAGGAATTAATTTGGGGACATTCTCTCACAAAATTGCAGTGCTGAATATGGCATTTCTGAATCAGATAACAAGAGTAAAAGACCACATATATGACCAGCTTTCCAAGGAGTTTCCAAGGAGAGAATGCTATATTCTCCTTTTCTCCTTGGGATGGTAAACCTGTAATATTCCATGTAAGCCTCCTAATCTCATGTTGGCCAAAACTCAATAACGTTCCTAAGGATGACTTCCTGATGAAACTTTACAAGAACTCAGTGAAACAACACGACTTCTAATGAGCTCTCTCTTCATTTCTCTGTTCTACACATAAACTCGTTGATATGGTTTAACTATGTCCCCACCCAAATCTCATCTTGAATTATAGTTCCCATAATCCCTATGTGTGGTGGGAGGGACCCAGTGTTAGGTAATTGAATCATGGGGGCGGTTACTCCCATGCTGTTCTCGTGATAGTGAGTGAGTTCTTTCAAGATCTGATGGTTTTATAATGGGCTTTTTTCCCTTTGCTCAGCACTCATTCTCTCTCCTGCCACCCTGTGAAGAGGTGCCTTCTTCCATGATTGTAAGTTTCCTAAGGCCTCCCCAGTCATGCAGAACTGTGAACCAATTAATCCTCTTTTCTTTGTAAATTACCCAGTCTCAGGTATTTCTTTATAGCAGCATGAGAACAAACTAATACCCTGGTTCTCATATTCTTTTATTTTCTTCCCTTTGGATATTTCCTCCCTATTTCTGTTTTTTCCGCATCTATGTCTCTAGACTTTGATCACCTCCTTTGTCTCCATACTAAAATATAAACACATTTGAAATAAATCTTTTCTTATTGCCTAAGATTCTTGATGGTTGGATGTCAAGAATTTGAGTTGCCCACCTACCTCTGGTACAATAATAGAAAAAACCTAGATATTGGTATATGGAAGAGAAAAGCTATATTACATCTCATTTCTAAGCTTTTAGGGCTTTACACACACACATACAAAACACACTCATACACACATACAGGAGATTGGGCCTAAAGTGAGATTTTGACAGATCTATCCATATAAGTACCACAGATCTCTTCTTAGCCAAGGCAATATCCATTTTGAAACTAACATTTACATATGGCCATGTAAAGAAAATGAGACAGTTATGTTAACAAAACTTACCTGCTGTCTTTCTCTTGGTTCTCTTTCCCTCTATTTTCCTAAAGTGGAAGTCCTCCATTAAGCTATGTGACGTGACTACTCATCTGTCTCCCTCCCTTATTGCTGGGTCCTCCACTTCCATGTCTGCCTGGTATTTTCCTGGCACAGCAGGCTGCATTCCCACAAACAATCCTGTAACTGTAAACCATTATTTCAGGACCAAGAGCAACCGAAGGTTGAAAGCTCTATCTGATTCTGTTCCTCAATTCTTTTCATTCCTTGAGAGGTATCTTTGCTGAAACCCATGGCTACATTTCTTGCCCCAGTATCAGTTTGGGTGTAAAACTAATGTCCTGAGTACAATAGCATCTACCAACCGGTTGGCTAAAGTGTGGCACTTATTTTCTAAAAGAAACAATAAATTACATTTTAATGACAGATTTCTGTGTCAGTGATTTCATCCCAGGTACGATCCTGAAGGTAGAAGTGTTTCTGCAAGAAATGATCTGTTGCCCCAAAGTAAGAACTAATTGTTGCCAGGACCAGAGACCATAGCTCTGGTCATAATGAGTTCTCAGGGGAGAGAAATGAATACCAACTGTAAAGAAACTAAAAGGCAAAAAACCCCATTGTTTCCTGATGGTCCTCTAAGAGTTAGAAATACATATGAGGTAGATATCTTTTAAAATAAAACCATGTTTACTACTATGCATTTAATAACCTTCTATAAATTTCACTTTATTTGCTTTATTTAGCACGAAAGAGTCTTGTCTTTACTAAGGATTAAAATGTAAATGATGATAGTAATAACAACAATAACAATAGCATCAACAGTAATATGTGCCAGCATTGAAGACATTCTATGTACCAGGCACTATTTAAGATTTTTACCTGTATCGACTCATGTAATCCTTATAAAGACCCTCTGAGAAAGGCACTATTATTATATGCATTTTAAGATAGCAAACTTAATAGCAGCATTAGACTAACATGAATAAGTATTTAGATTAATGGTAAGTGCAATTTAGATGAAGAATGAGGAAATATATATTTTTTATATATATTATATATATTAAGTTATATATATAAAGACTATATATATATATATATGTACAGTCAAGTGGAGACCAGGAATAAAAGAAGTGAGAAGTATATTTCAAACAGAAAAGATGAAGATAAGCTGTGTAAGATCACCCAATTCAATTCTCTTAGGATCAGATGTGCCTGTAGTGGAGAGGAGATGAATAAACAGGTCCATGTTTGACAGACAAATAAATGCATTGCAAATATATTACTAAGAATTACCATGAAACAGACATAAGCCCTCAAAGTGCAAATAGAGTAAATACTACAAAGTCATTATTTTAAAACTACACTTAATAGAGGGTAGGGGAAGTATAGTGGAATCCACCACTGCCAATTTATCTTTATTTGAGAAAAAAGGCCTTGGAGTCAGTACACACATACTTTTCCAGAGGTATTTATGACAAACCGCAACATATCCTTCCCGGTCATTATTTCCCATTGTGGAATCGTAGCTTCTGTTTCCTAATTGGATGAATTTTATTTGTGAATTGCAAAAACAAATAGGGAATGCATGTGAAACTTATAACCACTGAATTTCCTTTCTGTGTATACAAGTGAGAAATGACAGTGATTGGAGTAAGAAAATACAATTTGTGCCCATATATATATATTTTTACTATTATTGCCTGCTTTCCTTGCACTAAATACATATAAGAGTATAGGAATAAGGATTATTTATTGTGGTTCAAGGTTGAAATTCATGGGCTTGTTTTCAGATAATTATGTCTGTCCTCATGCATCAGCCAGAAACCCAGAGACCTATGAGGAGAAAAACCTCAATAGTCTACTTCATGCTTTTAAGCAGAAGTCCTTAGTGAAAGACATTAGATTATTGAAAAAAGAATGGTCAGTGCTGCTACATTTTCCATCTGCTTCATTTATTCAAGTAATTAATACTATTTTAGACAGAATTACTTGATCTCTTTAATTGGAATTTCTTTCCCATTATTTGATTACATATAATTATAAATCAAAAATCTTGCTGTCTCTATGGAGTTGAGTAATCAATAAAAGAAAATAATTATTAAATATCCAAAGGAAAAAGTTTTATTAATTAAGAGCTAAATATATTTGCACATGAAAATGTAGTTTAAAAAAAGAAACTTTACAAATCTTATTTACTTTTTCTTTAGAACTTAGAAAAAGTAAAAAGATATATTTCTAATGTCACTGGAATCTTTTCCATGAAATCTAAAGTTTAGTCAAGCTTGGTTTCTTTCACTCATCATTATTTTAAAAATTCAATTTTACTCTATGTTAATATTTTTTAAATTTTTAAATTTAAGAGATGAGTCTGAAGATATTTCATTAGTTGTATTACTTTAGGAAATGGATAGATATTAGAAGGGAAATGGAGTATTGATGAGAATGTTATTTTACTTTGATCAGTTAAACACTGAGATTTATCCTGACGATGATGTTTGGGCAACTGGGTCAGACCCACACGCAAATATGAAATGATTAAATAAAAATGCAATCAGCAGTGGCCTGGGAGCATTGCCTGGTGAGAGATAATACTGCAGCTCTCTAATTGGCTCGCGGCAAGCGTGCAGGATGACGGATTTCAGTTGTGGTATTGCCAGTCCTTCTTCCCCCAGCACTATTATCTCAGAGTGACACTTCCATTACTCTGAGCGAAGAAAGATGAACGTCACCTGTCAGGAGCTGGTTAATTGTGTTGCTAGATGTATGTTGCCAGGGCGCAGGTTGGACATTTATGAACATAACTGCTTCCTCTGATGTCCGCCATCCTTCACGGATCGATATGGCTCTTACAGTAAGCGCGTAATTGAGTGAAGGCACTTTGAGCTGAGGGGCTGAAGATGAGCCCATTGTGTGAGCTTCATTGTCCATACATTTACCATAAATGAGCTGATATTTGCCATTTATTGTGTGCAGCATTGTGGAAATGGAAACTAATGTGCCACTCTCATTTGTTTTCTAGATAAATGGGGAAGATGTCCAGAATCGAGAAGAAGCAGTGGCCTTGCTGTCTAACGATGAGTGTAAGAGAATCGTGCTGCTTGTTGCAAGGCCAGAGATTCAGGTCAGAACAGAGATCAAAAGCCTTGAGACTGAACTTTATATTCATTGAATTCACTGAATGTAAATTCGTGAATGAATTATATTCATTATCTGCTATTCTCTATCAAATCATTATCACGGTTATCTCTCCCCATATAACCCACCAGATGGCCTATGTGGGAGTGAATTTTAAAAATAGATATGAAAGCAATTAAGGTATACAAAATACAATAAAGACTGATCTTTCCTAATTTATCAAAAGTATTACACATTAAAGACTTCCTTATATTGCTCCATAGAATGGCAGCTAAATATCCCTTTTAAGGGGGGAAAAGCATACCAAATTGAATTGTGATTCTCTCCTTCAATTTGCCACTTACTTAAATAAATACTCAAATGAAAAATGGCTGTGTGGATCCTTTTAATTCTGTGTGGATCCTTGCTTTAAGTTTCCATCTGAAAATACTTAAATGGCATATGAAGATATCTTGGAAGAAGCTCCACGAGAGAAACACTAGCCTATCTAGTCATCAACTTAAATCTTTTTAAAATAACTTTATCAATTAGAATGTCTTGTATAGCATGATCTGGTTCCATGTATAGTAAATGAATTGTTTCCAAGTTTAGTGTGACCAAAACAATTGTCCAGCCAAAAACTGATAACTTCTAAATGAATTTTTTAGATCTTTATGGAAGAAGATGTCATGAAAGTAGAGTAAAGGTAATGGAAAAAAAGTACTATTGGGGCTTCCTTTTATATCCTTTTTATCTCCCATCACAAGGCAGAAGGGACAAAACATTGTCACCAGTCTATCTATCTGTCAGTAGTTTGAATAAAGTTAGTTATATCGCCATTTGTCTCCTCGGTTATTGATATGATATTTTTCAGACTCAGTAACTACATACTATCTATAAATTACATTGAGTAAGTGTATTTCAGTGTCAGACTGAATCCTGACTTGAATATAGTGGTTATAAAAGATCACCCTTTCTGCATATATTTCGTTTATGCCCTTGCCCATTCTAAATGGTTCTCATAAAGTCTGCCATAGCCTGGGGCAGAGTAAAGTTACACACCTGAGGTCTTAGGAGTGGGGAAAAAAGCCCACAAAACCCCCACACTGCCTATGTGGGAGTGAATTTTTAAATACATATGAAATTATACCAATTATCTGGAAATTTCTCAACCCAGTTATCTCGCTGCTCCCATTTTCTTCAAAAAAGAACATAATAAAGGGGCTAAATGCATATTAGTGAAATTTATGATAAATTGAAGTTGCCATCTCTATTGTAGAGAAGATATTTTTATGTTATAATGTGGTTTCCCTGCCCTTTCCATGTAACTGCTAGAGAACCTCATTAATTTAGAACTAAAGCATTTCCTTAAACTATGCCACATAGTGGCCATAATGGGCTGTAGAAATAATAGAAATTAATAACATAGACCAGATCCTGTTAATCTTTGATGGAATACATATGCTGGGTAGAACCAGTGGAAAATTTGAGTATCTGGCTACACTTCTGACCTTTTTCTCCAAAAGAGTCAATGCTGAAGGATGAATTTTCAAATGAGACTTCCCTTTCCACATTTGATGAAAGATGGTTGTCTGACTCCATAGGATGCTGTCCTGCCTGTCAAAATTATGATCTGCATTAGCCCCTTGATCCTAAAGAAACCTTCATGACACTGGAAGGAAGCTAATTGCCTATAGAAAAAAAAAACAGATTTCCAGAGAAATCAGGAAAAGAAATACATTTTAATACCATACTTTTAAAATGTAATTTAATCAGTACATGCTATAAAGTGGCAAAAAAAAAACTAAAAAAAAAAAATCTTGTCTTTATATCACCCATATTTTTCCATTGAACTCAATTTATCTCATTGTTGTATGTTTTTTTTTTGCGTGTGTATTTTATTCGGGGAGAATGTGGAAGCTTTTGTGTGCTTTTTCTAGCTTTTTTTAAACATTTTTAACGTTTCAAATACTCTCTAGATTCTTGGAAATGATCTACAGAGTTGCTGGGGGCAGTATTGTACATCTGTGCAATATTTTTAAATAACTCATTTTCCTCATTTCCTGTCAACTCTCTTTCATTTTCTGCCCATTTTCTTCCTGAGACCATTAAAGATATTGCTTTTCTGTCCTATTTCCCTCAGGACACTGGGGCAGAGAGGATTCTCATAAGAACTTGTAGCCACTACCTTTGAGACAGTGTAGGTTGTTCCTTTTTCTGAGATGCCACATGTGGCCCCCTTTGGTGCAGATAGATCCCCACTCTTAGTAGTAACAATCCCTCTTTTCCTGCAGCTCAGCTCAAGGGAGATGTCTGTCTCTGCCGTTACATTAGACTCAGACCATAGTGAATGTACATCTAGGTAGAAAGGGGGAAATAGGAGAGAAGAAGGAAGTGAGCAAGAAGAATCTCCCTTTGCTAATTGTGCTGTGTGCACCTCCAGCCTAAAAGAAAGCCTTATCAAAATAGACATATAATGACTATGGCTGGCAACTCAGGAATCTACTGGATTACTCAATAAGAAAAGAGTTATGGGGAATCATTAATTTTGACCATTTTCTCTTTATTTTCCCCACTACTTCATTTAATCCTCAAAGGACTCTGTTTCATCATTCAATATATCAGTGTTAGAAAATACTTTATTTTGACCTGATTAAAGAAAAATTCCTTGATGTGTTTGTGAATAGTAAGCACTCCCCATTTTAAGTAATTTTTTATGATGTCTGGCATTTGTAGCTTTATGATACTTGAAAAAGATTAAAGAATGTAAAATTTGAACAATTATAAATTGGGCTGAATTTACATTTTTACTTGGCATAATTTTCATAGCTCATCTGCATATCAAAGTCACAGGAATTTGATCAAATTATTCAGGCGACATTAAGATAAATGAGGATGAACAAATGTGCCAGCACTTTGGGCCCCAGTTAAGTTTGAGGTCATTTAAGTTCTACATGGCCTTTAATAGATATCATGAAATCTATGATTTGCCTGCATATTAATAAAGATGATACCTGTATGCTAATGCCTCTTTTGGTGCAGCTGAATGTCCTTTCCAGTTTGTTTTTAAGTTGTAGAAGTTCAGTTATGTTTAAAAGCTTATTTTGCCAGTTCATTGGTGGTGAAAATATCTCAAACTATTATCCATGTTTGCTCACTAGAATGCTATTTCTTTGTACAGGGTGATGCAGAGTTTTGACGATAATCCAGTTAATTTAATCAGCATAGACAGCTAATTTATGTAATCCAGCTCCAAAAATCCACTTTGAGGCAAATTATCTGTAGTAACTGTCAACACTGATCATATTAGATCATATTAGCCAGGTAACCACCAGTTTTCCACTTCACTTTGTATTGAAAAGCCGAAGGGATTTGTTCAGTTCAATTTGCATTAAGAGTCCTACAAGAATACTTGTTTTCAACACCCATAAACAAAACCCTGCATGCCCCACACCACTCCACCACCCTTAAATGTCGCATCCACTGAGGTGTTTTTCCTATAAAATTGGGCCTGAAAACAAATTAAAATAGACATGGAGTAATATTGCTTTTCTTTCCTTTCCTTGAGAAGAATAACTTAGAATTTTCCTTTCTTCACAGACAAAATAAATGTCTTCTGTACATTCTTTTGTGGCAAGCAGCCATCTTGTTGACATGGGAGCCCACCTAAAAAGAAAAAAGCAGGATGAGGATAGCACGAGCGTATGGGGGGAACTTTGTGTGCAGTCTCGTTGGGGGTTGTTGTTAAAGAAAACAGCCCAATTGTCTCATAGCCCAATTAGTAGCATGGCAGTCCTTTTAACACGGGACTGTTGGAGGTAATGAGCATGACAGCTGTGGATTATGCAGGATGCTTTTCATACATTTTGAAAGAAGGTAATATTCTGTGCTGTGAGATTTACTTGGTTATGAGAGAAAATCTGTAGTCCCATTTCAGGAAAGGATAAAAGGCATAAGAGTCCTTTTTTTTTTTTTTTATCACCTTTTCTTCTTTCTGAGAGGTGAACTGTGGGAGGCTGGTATTCTGAAGAGAATCATTATGATAAAAGGAACTCGTCGGGCACCGGCCATTTAAGTTTACTCTATTTTAACATGAGTTCTCACTAACATAATATAATGTACTAATGTATTCTTTTGCAGCTGGATGAAGGCTGGCTGGAAGATGAAAGGAATGAATTCTTAGAGGAGTTAAACTTGGAGATGTTGGAAGAAGAGCATAATGAAGCAATGCAGCCCACTGCCAATGAGGTGGAGCAGGTAGGGCCAACAATTTGAACTACATCATTTGATATGTTGCTTGTTCTTTTTTTAATGTGTAACCATAAATGAAGATGAAAACAAAATCAAAGGGTTTAATCCATCATCTCTATCATGGTAATTTTTTAGAGCAAATGATCATCTCAAATGAAGCAGAGGGAATAAATAAAATGTTTTTCCATTAAGAATATATCCAGTTTGGGAAGCTTGGGGACAATTGTTAATACAGTACAGTAGTATTCAAATGTTGACCCAGGCACTACTTCAAACTAATTGCAGAAATTTAAGAGTAAAAAATGTGTGTTGCTTATCAATATGCCAGCTGAAAACAAACTGAGGTAGCTTCCCCAATAAGTAATTTTTTTTACTCTAAAATATTAATGTATCTATTTGAATACTTAGGCTATCACTATAGGATGAAGATGACATGATGTAAGCCATCAGTTTTATTTGCGTACTGGATGGCGTGATTACACCTGTATATTCTGAATAATCGTAGAGATTATCCTTGGTCTTATGGCTGCTGTTGACACATTTCCCATAGTATAACTTGTGCAACATTTCTCATAGCATAGTTTGAGATTATTAACATCATTTTGCCTTGAAGTCACATATTCATTCAACTAAACACTTTGAACTCCTAATATGTTCCAAGTACCCCACTTGAAACTGAGAATAAAAAGAAAAATGAGCAGAACTGCTGTCCTTAATGGATTCATAACTAGTAAAAGATCACAGTGTGATTAGTATATTATTTTTATTGTCTTTTTCCCATTTTACAAAAACAAGTTCAATGTATTCTAGATTTTTTATGTTACACTCATGTCATTTATCTGCCTGATATAATTTTGTTTTCAGTTTACTGATTTGTTTAATTATCTTCCTATTCTCAACATTATTATATGTATTTTATTATATATATATATACGGAATCTTGCTCTGTCGCTCAGGCTGGAGTGCAGTGGCACAATCTCAGCTCACTGGAACCTCCGCCTCCCGGGTTCAATTGATTCTCCTGCCTCAGCCTCCTGAGTAGCTGGGATTACAGATGCCCACCACCATGCCCAGCTAATTTTTGTATTTTTAATAGAGACAGGGTTTCACCATGTTGGTCAGACTGGTCTTAAACTCTGACCTCGTGATCCACCTGCCTCGGCCTCCCAAAGTTCTGGGATTACAGGCATGAGCCACCGTGCCCTGTCTATTCTTATTATTATCATTATTATTATTATTATTTTAAGATAGAGTCTCACTCTGTCGCCCAGGCTGGAGTGCAGTGACACAATCTCAGCTCACTGCAACCTCTGCCTCCTGGGCTCAAGCGATTCTCCTGCCTCAGCCTCCTGAGTAGCTGGGACTATAAGTGCACGCCATCATGCTCAGCTAATTTTTGTATTTTTAGTACAGATGAGGTTTCACCATGTTGATCAGGCTGTTCTCGAACTCCTGACCTCAAGTGGTCCACCAGCCTCAGCTTCTTAAAGTGCTGGGATTACAGGATCCCACCACCACACCCAGCTAATTTTTGTATTTTTAGTAGAGATGGGGTTTCACCATGTTGACCAGGCTGGCCTCGAACTCCTGACCTCAAGTGCTCCACCAGCCTCAGCCTCCTAAAGTGTTGGGATTGCAGGCATGAGCCACTGCACCTGGCCTCAACATTAATTCTTAACACATCTTAAAAGATGATAATTTTTTTGAAAATCTTGACAGGCTTAGAAACTTGCAGCACAAACATTCTATCACTTTACCATGTTGAATAATGAAATATTCAGCTTGCTAACATCCCATAACAGAAATGTGTATGTGTGTGCACATGTCCACATATTAAATAAATAATTAGATTGCACACTATAGCATCAACATAGTCATATGTGATATACTCATGTGCTCATTATGTGGAGTTTGGCCACTCCACAAACAGAATTTCATGCTCACAAGTAATATCGCTACTGTGGTGACTGTCTTTCAATATAGGTAGGGCAGATTAAAATTTTTATGTATAACTTCAACACTGGCCAAAAATAAAGATATTTTTGGTGGCAGCTGCTGGTTACAAGCAAGAAAGTCCTTGCTCCAGGCTTTTTTTTTCTTAGATACAAAATGTGACCTGATACTGAATTGATAGGAGGATGTTGGAATAAGGAAAGCAGGGAGAAATCCTGTCCAGGTAAAGTGACAACGGTGTCAAACGCTGCCTACTCATCAGAGGTAATACAAATGTTAGGTCTCGTGAGGTAACACTAGATGCCTCTGAGGTTAGATTCTCATTGTGTGGAATTTTTTTCTTCACCATGAGACTAAAAAATGGTGAGAAGTACAGAAACCTTTAAAAGTCCTTTGCCCTTATAAACAATAATACTACATTAGAAATGTCTAGGTAGAAACATTGCCTGTCACTATAATAATTCCATAGGGAAATGATAAATGATAGAGTAGCATTGCATTAGAAACTAGGAATTCTAGGTTTGAGAATAGAAAACTATTTTATTTTCACAGTTGTTCATAGACCAATAACAAGGGAAAGGGGATATTCAATTGAAAAAATAAAATACCTACCCATATGTGAACCTACTTTATGGAAAGTTTCATTTTACACAGTATGTTTGGTCTTATGAATGCCGTTACATTGTGCAACATCTCCCATAGCATAATTTGTCATTATTATGTCATCTGCATGTAAAATAAGAAAAAAATTACTAGTCTTCTTGTATTTTTCAGCTCATGACAAGATATTAGAAAAATATAATTATAAATAACACGATATATAAATTCAAATGCCCAGTATCAATAACATTCTTTGAGAGTTATATGGTGTAGTATAAAGACATTGCCATATTAAATACTATTGTCACCTTATAAGTCACAGCCTAGGGATGCAGCAAGCTTCCCATTGTTCGTTACAGTTACTTATTATAATTTTTTAATCAATAAGACATTTAAGATAAATCTCAGTATGTTTTCAACAAATGAAGGAACATGTTCCAGGGAAAGAAAGATTGAGAGTCATAGAAAAGCTGATACATGGTTATGTTCTCTCCTCTTGATATTGTTACTTTTTATCCTGCCACTACTTTTGTGGAACAAAATAACAATTATCTAGAGAGACCTTTTTAGACTTCTTTTAGAATATCTTTTGTCACCCGTTCTATCCTTCTTTAGCACTAGCTGTTGGCTTGATTATATTTAATTGTGTAATTACATCTTCTAGAGGGATGGAGCTATATCTATACCTATCTATCTATCTATATATATATATAGTGAATAAACTTAGGCATAAGGCAGATATAACCTAGAAACTGCCTTATAGATTATCATATGATGACTGATAGAGGTGAAAGTAACTTTACCATATTCACAGAGAAAGAACTACACATGCATCTTATTAGGACAGTTACAGTTAATTGTTTTACATGAAAGCCAAAAATTACCAGAGTCTCTCTCTCTCTCTCTCTCTCTCTCTCTCTCTCTCTCTCTCACACACACACACACACACACACACACACACTACATAAACATACATGCATGCCTATATACATATATGTGACATAAGTGTCAAAATTTTTTTGATATTATGCCCATGTCTGGCAATCAGTGCTGTTCAAATTTTCATGGGACTGAATTTTTATTCTCAATAGACTAAAATTTATCTTTGAAAAAAAATCCCTGGTTAAGAGTAGAAAAATCTTATACAACCCCAATGAGTCCTAAAACATTGTTGTTGCTTTTGAGAAACATGATTTAGAGTGCACTGAGGTCAGAGCACATGTATTCAGGAATATGGCATCCTGGACATATAAGAAATTCTGGCACTGGAAGATGAAGCTTTGCCTCCATCTGTCATTAATAACCTGAATCTGCCACTAATAACCTGAATCCTTTTGGAATTGAGCATCCTCACCTATAGATAGCAATGTCCTAGGCTCCAGTACATAATGTTAACTTAGTCCTAAAACTCTGTGATGTTTGGCTTACCCATTGTCAGCATATTACTAAGCCAGTGAAGTTTCCTCTGTACTTAAGGGGAAAAACATAAGGTGATTGTGGCTTCTGAACATCAGGTCTCCATATTGCTGAAGACTATTTAGACATTCTGTCTTATTCTTTTGCATATTATCACCTCAGAAATTCATACAGTCACTTTGTTTATACACCTTCAACCCCGAGTTTCCCAAGTAAGAGAAAACCTAAAGAATCACTTATTTGAATGCATTCTGTCTTATTTATATCCATGTGAATATCATAGCCATATTCAAGCGGGTTTTGTTTTCTTCATTTCATTGTATAAAAAGCTGCCATGAGCTAATTTCCTTTATTTCTAAAATTGTGATGGACCCTAAATTAGAGCAACTGTCTAGGAGATGCAACTTTGCCAGGAAACATTGGTTTTCAAACAAGATTTTTAATAACAAATGTCTTCCAAAATCATTAATTTTCTTTGTTCTTTCAACATCATTTTCTTAGCCAAAAAAGCAAGAAGAAGAAGAAGGCACAACAGACACTGCAACATCCTCATCCAACAACCATGAGAAGGACAGTGGAGTAGGACGTACAGATGAAAGCTTGCGAAATGATGAGAGCTCAGAGCAGGAGAATGCAGCCGAGGACCCCAATAGCACATCTTTGAAGAGCAAGAGAGACCTGGGGCAGAGCCAAGACACTCTGGGAAGTGTTGAACTTCAGTACAATGAGAGCCTCGTATCTGGTGAATACATTGACTCAGACTGCATTGGCAACCCAGATGAGGACTGTGAAAGATTCAGGCAGCTCTTGGAGCTCAAATGCAAGATTCGAAATCATGGAGAGTATGACCTGTATTACTCAAGCAGCACAATTGAATGCAATCAAGGGGAGCAAGAGGGAGTGGAGCATGAGCTACAGTTGCTTAATGAAGAACTGAGAAACATTGAGCTTGAGTGTCAGAATATCATGCAGGCTCACAGGCTCCAGAAAGTGACAGACCAGTATGGAGACATCTGGACATTGCATGATGGAGGATTCCGGAATTATAACACCAGCATAGATATGCAAAGGGGAAAGCTAGATGACATCATGGAGCATCCAGAAAAGTCTGACAAGGACAGTTCTAGTGCTTACAACACAGCTGAGAGCTGCAGAAGTACTCCGCTCACTGTAGACCGTTCCCCTGACAGTTCCCTTCCAAGGGTGATCAACCTCACCAATAAGAAAAACCTGAGAAGCACAATGGCAGCCACCCAGTCCTCTTCCGGACAGAGCAGTAAAGAGTCGACCTCCACCAAAGCCAAAACCACTGAGCAAGGTTGTAGCGCTGAAAGCAAGGAGAAGGTTTTAGAAGGCAGCAAGCTTCCTGATCAAGAGAAGGCAGTCAGCGAACACATCCCTTACCTCTCTCCTTACCACAGCTCCTCATATAGATATGCAAACATCCCAGCACACGCCCGGCATTATCAAAGCTACATGCAGTTAATTCAACAGAAATCTGCAGTCGAGTATGCTCAGAGTCAGCTCAGCTTGGTGAGCATGTGCAAGGAGTCTCAGAAGTGTTCAGAGCCCAAGATGGAATGGAAGGTGAAAATTAGGAGCGACGGGACACGGTACATCACAAAGAGACCCGTGCGAGACCGAATCCTGAAGGAACGTGCCTTAAAGATCAAGGAAGAGCGGAGTGGCATGACCACAGACGATGACACCATGAGCGAGATGAAAATGGGGCGCTACTGGAGCAAAGAGGAGAGAAAGCAGCACCTGGTTAGGGCCAAAGAGCAGCGCCGTCGCCGTGAGTTCATGATGCGAAGCAGGTTAGAGTGTCTCAAGGAGAGCCCTCAGAGCGGCAGTGAGGGCAAGAAGGAGATCAATATCATTGAACTGAGTCACAAAAAGATGATGAAAAAGAGAAACAAGAAAATTTTGGACAACTGGATGACAATCCAAGAACTGATGACCCATGGGGCCAAGTCTCCAGATGGCACGAGAGTCCATAATGCCTTCTTGTCGGTGACCACTGTATGACCGAATGAATGGAATGCATGCGACTGATTTTAGGAGGATGCTACCAGTTTCGGTAGAGTATGATTGCCTCGTTCAATGTGGCGTTTTTATATATATTTTGTGACTCTTTATAGTTTAAATTTTTTGTAAGCAAAAAATACCTGGTAATTTTTCATTTGTTTTTCATATACTGGTACCTTCTTTTTGGCTGAGATCTTTCTTTTACTTGTGATATATTCATATTACTCGTTTATAAAAAATCAAAAACAAAAGGAAAGAAAACAAAAAAAACTTGCACAAAAATACTGAGGAGCCAATTAATTTCCTACTTCAATGTATCTAATGTAAGTGAAAATCTGGATTTATTTCTCTAGTTTACTTATTTTCTACTTTAATAATAACTCAATGCCAAAATATTTCTATGCTTGTTTCTTGGCATAATACATTTTAAATCAAACCTGTTCGTAATAAATCATGTGCCACATCTTGTCTTACACATAAAAGCCACTGCTTTTAACATCCCATTGTACATTTAACACATAAATGGTGTTAACATCCCATTGTACATTTAACACATAAATGGCCATTGTCTTTGTCTCAGTAAAGTGTAGGTGGACAATCTTCCTGTGATATGTAGTGACATTGGTCATGTAGCTAGATAATTATGGTAATTGTGACAATTAAAGAGAAATAAATTATTGATTATCCTTCAGAAAAATTATCAAGGAGTGTTTTATTTTCCTTGTCCACAGTGGTTGACAGTTATAAAGTAGTTATATGTGTATACTATTTAGAAGACGCCTAATTGTGGATTATAAAATGTGCACATTTTCTATCACTTGTTTCCAATAAAGTTGTATTGAAACATTCCCTATAGATCACTGTGTCACATATGCCTACCAGGATTAAATTCGATAATATATGTATAGCATCTAACAGATGCTAACTCAACATTCAATAGCCATTAGTTCATGTTCCCGTTGCCTGCCACCCACTTTTAAGGTAAAACCAAGAAAAATTTAAAGAATGCCATGGAGAGAGAATATCAGTGAAGTGTCTGAGATTGTTTATAATGCTGCAATGTATGTTAGTCTGCTCTGGCTATCATAACATAATGCCATACTTAAACAACAGGAATTTATTTCTCATAGTTTTTTTTTTTTTAAATGGTGGTCTCACTTTGTTGCCAGGCTAGTCTTGAACTCCTGGATTCAAGCAATCCTCCTACTGAGGCCTTCCAAAGTGCTGAGATTACAGGTGTGAACCACTGTGCTGGGCATCAATTTCTCATAGTTCTGAAGACTGAAAGAGTCAAGGTCAAACACACTAGGGGTTAGGGTTTCAACATATGAATTTTGGAGGAACACAATTCAGTCCGTAGTGCTATGTGTATTTAGTTGATAAATAAATTTTAATAATTTATAAATAATTTTAGGGAACCATATTTGCAAAATCCTCAGCATAGTCAAGTATAAATGCTTCATATGTCAGTTTATTAAAAGGTAAGATTATTAGATGACTAGATAAATTTTTTAAATCTAACTTTTCACCATATAAACATATGAACTATATTGCATATCCATCATCATACCTCCAAAGTGAAAGGCCAGATCAAACTATGTACATGCAAACATGAGTTTGATCAAATTTTCATTCAACTTAGCAGATTGTTTTAACATAATAGATACACAACGTCTGCTTATTTCTGAAGCTACTTTCCCATTTAAAAACCTACAGTGGCTTCCTAGGAGCTCTAGAATCAGACTCCTATGGCCCTCCATTAACTTGTGGGCCTTGCCTATTGCTCTTTCTATTTAGATCTTCTCTGAGTTACTCCTGACTCCTTAACAGCCTAATCATTTCCACTCAGGTTATCCTATGCTATCGTCCTGTCTGGGGTTTCTGTGACAAATCCTACACCTCCCTTGGCATGGGATCACATACATTTCCTTTTTGGAGACTCTTTTAATGACATCAGACTTTCTCAGCTATTTGACATATACTATCATGCCTATTGCTTCACCTTGGAAATTGTATTCTTTTGTTATTGAATCACATACATGCATAGAACTTATTGTCTCCCTGCATAGATTTGAAGTTCCTAGAGGAAAGCCCTCATGACCCCCCTCTGTCTTTGTAAGCTGGTAGGATGCCATTTGAATAATAATAAATTTTAGTTGAGCTAATTATTTTATGCATTTATCTCTCTCCTCCACATATTCGTCCTTTTGTTACTGTTTTCCTTGCTCTTCTACCCTTTCAAGTTCTTGTCTTTTGAAGGGCTATCACACAGATGAAAAGAAACTAATCTTATTTATATATAATGAAAAGCTGGACTCAAAAACTTTAAGATAGTGATAGTAATAGCAACCTAAGGCAACTGAAAATTTCATCACTTGTAATTTGAGCTATTGTTAATCCAGTGAATAAGACTGCCCCCAGAGCACCTAGAGGGTTAACTTTTGAGCACCTAGAGTTAACTTTTGAATCACGTAAGAATGCCTGTCTATCTTAAGTGCTCAGTTCTTTCCAGATCTAATGCCTGTCATTATTGTTTCTCCTCTTGACACAACTAGGTTGAAATATTCATTGCCTTTGAATTACTCCAATAGATAATCTTCATTAGGAACCAACATGTAGATTTTTCCAGAAGAAACATGTACACATCTCACAGTATGCAGTTTCCAAAATTACCAGTTTAATTTTATTTTTATTAAGGCCCAATGTGCTTGCCAATTGTTTAAAAATGTGATGTTGGTGTCTTTCATGTCTGTGTTTATATAGTTCTACAAGTTGAGAAATGTCTCTTTTTAAAAAATCAGTGAAAATATAAAAAGTGTCATGCTTTATCTTTCTACATGACATATCTTTGTGCTAAACTTTTTTCACATAAATGAATAATAAATCTGTTGCTCGGCAAAGAAAAATAATTGGTTATATGCGGGATATTTTATTCCAGTTCAGAAGAAATACGTGAATGTAAAGAGGAGAGATATTTTACTTGGGCTTATGAAATTTCATATTTATTATTGCTTTTTATACTCAAGATGTGACAGAAATTGGTGTTAGGATCTGAAGAAGGAAAATGACAACAGGTTAATCAAAGAATCTAAAATGGAGCCAGGAGGCCATTTTAGCTTGAACCTCAGGTAGGCCTTGGATGGAGGTCACAACTTCCTGGCTGAACAATGGCCAAAGCATCTGCTGACTGCTTCCTGCTGAGCTCTGGAAGGTCCCTTACCACAGGCGGCCTTTTTAACTGTTAAAATCAGTCCCTTTAGATACAATCACACCAATTGTAGCAGTTGAAAAACAACTTTTGTAATCTCCCCTTCTCCTGATTCATCCTTTTTTCTTTAAAAGCTCCAGCATCTCTTTTGTTCTCCAGGGCACTTCACAAAGTAACTTGGAAGCATTTCCTGGGCTGCAGTGATTCAAATTTGGCTCAAATAAATTCTTTGTTGTTTAAGACATACCTCAGTTTTTTCTAGGTCCACAGATCCATATGTGAAGGACATAAGGGGACAGAAAGCAATGTATGTTCAATGAGTATTTCTTCATTGTGTGCCATGAAGAAGCCTATCGTTGGCATCATATTTTGTGTAGACTGTCTCTTTATGAACACATATTGTGGGTGAGGGAAAGCCTTCTCTCACATAGCCTTTCCACCTACATATTGAATTAATCCATGTCTTCTTGTTGTGTCTCAATCTGCCACCTAAACTCATCTGTCTATCCCTCCGGTGAGCCTCTCCTCTAAGCTTCAAATTCCTCATTTTGTCATGACATTACTGTTCCCCTAGTCTCTCATGCTTACCACCTGAGCCTTGTTGGATTTCTCATTTAGCTGGTCAGTTATAATGAAAAGCATTGTTAATTTCTCTTCAAAGTGTGTTAGATTGTTTCTAATAGGCTTCAATCACCCATAGGCTAGACTGTCACTGTCTCATGCCTAATTACTTCAGCAGGTCCTTAACTGTTCTCCCTGTACCCCTTTCCAGTCTACCTATATATAGCCACAACACTTGCCCTCCTAAACATCACCTTCCTCATTGTGCTCAGATACCTTCAGAGGTCTTTTCCTAAATATCAGACAAAAGCTGAGAACCTGAGATGGTCATTTTAGGATTTCCATCATTTAAACTCAACCTATTTTTCCATCTGACCTCACACTTCTCTTCAAGAAGACTTCCAACTGAGACCTTGAGAAACCTGCCTTGAGTAGATGACTAATTTGGTGCTCCTTCAAACTAACATTTTTGTATTCATTTTTCAGAGACAGGGTCTTGATCTGTTGCCCAGGCTGGAGTGCAGTGGTGCAATCATAGCTCACTGCAACCTCAGACTCTTAGACTTACATGACCTTCCTGACTCAACACCCTGAGTAGTTGGGAATGTAGGCATGTGCCACCATACCTGACTAAATTTTTTTTTATTTTTTGTAGAGATATGGCTCTCACTGTATTGCCCAGACTGATCTTGAACCAATTTGATTGGCCTCAAATAATCCTCCCACCTGGGCCTCCCAAAGTGCTGATATTACTTTGGGAGGCAAAGTAATATGAGTGATATTACTTTGGGAGGCATGAGCCACCATGCCCAGCCAGTATTCTTTAAATTTTCATTAAAAGTTAATTAAATTTTCTATTCTATTAATTTATTTTCTATCATTAATTAATTTCTGCTACAATTTTAATTCTATTAATATACTGTTAATATTATATACATATTATCAAATAATTTATATTAATTTTCTAAGTTGAACACTGCAACAGGCTCATCAATTAATTCACTTTTTCTGAAAAAAAAAAGTAAGAAAAAACATTTTCCCAGCAAATTATTTCCCTCTTATCTGAAGTTTTCATCTTCTCTTGAGTATTATTTTATTATTTTCTGAAATGTATGTCTTTGGAAGTAGTCCAAAGTCTTTGAATATCCTCCAAAGGACATAAAATTTAGATAAAACAAATCAGTCATTCCTGTTAACTATGCAAGCCATGGTTTCAAAATTTCAGTAAACAGTAACTACAGGAAGCTACTGACAAAAGTAACTGACCGAGACAGGTCACCTACTGAGGAGTGTTTCAGGATATTTTAGTAAAATCCGAAGAGAAACCAGACTGTTGCTTCGAGAGGTTTTTGTTGATGTTTTTTGTCTTTGGTATTTTGTTTATTGTTCTGCTGTTTCCACTCAAGTTGTGCTGCTCTTTTTAGCCAGAAGAGGACCAGTTTACACTGTAAGTTTTGCAAAGTCTCCTTATAGAAGTGAGTAAATGATACCATAATGCTGATTATTTGGGGGACATTTTTGTGCTACTTTTAGGTCCCACTATGCCTCTGCTCTGGACTCCCTGCAGTTTTTCGAACATGACATTCTCATTTCTGGCACCACTCTTTGCTCTTCGTGCTTTGCATGCTAAAGAAACCCTTCTCCTGTCTCTGTGTCCATCCTTCCCTTGATGTTCATTTCATGCCTTCTCATCCCTCCAGGAGATTTTCCCTAAGTCTTGCTAACAGCCACTCATTTCTGAACACTTATACGTGGTATTTTCTTATCACTCACTTGGCTTTCCACCCAGTAGCGCCTAATATATTTTTTCTATAGTGTCTAGCATGAGTAGAGCGTGTTGCACAGTAGTACCACTGCTACATTTGTTCTTCTGGCATTTCTTCCATTTTACCAAACAGCAGCTGCTCAGGATTTGGGGAGTCATGCATCTTTCACATACCCCAGCCAACAGTGTTGTCTTCCAACAAACATTGCTCCTGGGTTCAGGAGATATCTATAAACTAGGGTCCCGCTTGTTATTCATTATCGTACTACATGCTTTTAACTTATTAATATCCACTACTTAATTATCCTTTTCCAGCTCTGTCACTAAGTTTGCATTCTTAGGCATGTGGCTTAACTGATGCTCAGTACAGTGGAGATAATTATAGCCTTTTTCATAGTCTGAGAATTAAATGGGTTAATCTATGTAAAGAAGCTAGATAAGTATTGGCACAGGGTGGGCACTCAATATATGTTAGCTATTGTTTTTATGTACAGATGAGCAAAATATGTCTAATATAATTTTTGTCATCTGCCACGAATTCGACAGCTACTAAGCAATGGTTCACTATGGTGTGCCTCAAAATTTTTCTTCTTTCCACAACTCACTGCCTCCACATGAATTAAGAATGAACATCAGCAGCTTGTCTGCTTGTCATCAGCTCTGCTTCAAACAGAAGTCCAGGCACACAGAAATCCAGGCACTAATCCCATTTTCCCTGTGTCATCAAACACGTGCTGACCATCTTCATTTGCTCCTACTTTGTCAGCCATCCTATTTTTTGATTTGTATGTTGCTTATGGTAGGGAATGATGATGCTAGATTTTGTTATTGATCAGTCATTGAGCCTATGATAGTTTTTCTAGACCTAACCAGTACATAATGGCATTCTGCTTCCATTTATTATGGCTCCATTCTATTGTGCTGCCTGTCATGCCCATGAGCAGAAATGTGACATTGTAAAGAACCTCTGGGATGTACATTTTCAGGACTCTCTAGGATCCTCAAAGTTTTAATGGGGGGCAGGGGGAGAGTCAATGCTGGATATTCAATCCCCAATCATATCTAAACAAGAAGTTTGATAAAATGAGACATTTACTCAACTTTACCTTTCTGATGGTGACGAGAATAGATTGAATGGGATGCAACTTCTCAACATATCCTGGAATATTTGTGAGGTGCTCTGGGAAGCGAAGTCTACTCAAATGTGTCAAAAAACCAGCCCTAGCCTGGTGTTCTCATTATGGTAGGGTCAGTGAGTAGAGCAGCTTTGTGTCCATTTAACTTAGTCTGACTTCGTTTTTGAAACAGAATACTAATCAGGAAATCAATAAGTATTGAAATGTGCTATGTGAAATACACAAAGCAATAGAAATAGTACAAAACAGTTAAGACAAGGAAATGTGAAAGTCTGTGATGCTTAATGTGTTAGATGCTTTACATGGGTCATTAATAAACTTGTTATCTTGGGGAGATGAATGATGGGCACATGAAAAGAAATCTAACTGTATAAAGCAGAGTGTATAAAGTGCAGCGTGACAGAGCCCCTGAGGAGCTCAGGAGGGTTGAGAGGAGTGAAGGCTTGGCATGGGCTCTCATCTCTGGGAAGCCTTCCTTGGCTTCACAGCCTTCAGTAATGACTCACTGAACTGACAAGTTCCTATCAATTCTACAATCTATATAATCAGTTCTACAATTTGTTGCACAAAGTCTGACTGAAATTTAAGTTAGGAGGAGACTGGGAGAGGTAGGCAGAAGCCAGGTCATGAAGGGTGTCATATGCAAAAAAGCAGGGGAGTGAATGTGATCAAATTTATGTTGGACACAGATCAGTCTATCAGCAATTTAGACCTTGTTTTGGGTGGGAAAACATTTAGAAGGACAACAACCAGTTAGGAGGAGGTAGTTTTGGTGATCCAGAAGAGAAGAGTGAAGGGCTTGAACAAGGGACTGATGGGTGCACAGGGAGGAACAGATTTGACAGGTATTAAGGACTAAGGTGGAAGATTGAGTACATAAAATTACAAGATGACCAGTTAAATTTGAATCTCAGAACAACTGAATATGTTTCTAATGTAAACGCATATTGGGGACATACTTAATAATACAGTTAATTTTTGTTTATTTGGAGTTGGCGTTATGTATTTTATCTAGCAACTTTATTAAGGAAGTAGAATAGTCAGGTTCTGGGGACTGACTGGACATAGAATGGGAGAGAGCAGATGGAGGAAGGTTTTGAGGATGATTTCAAGGCTACTGGTTGGGGATCTGAGTAAATGACAGTACCACAAGCAGAATGAGCTTAGCAAGAGAAGGTGAACTATTCAGTCTTAGGCATGTTGTTTTAAAGATGCCAATAGGACAGTCCAGGTAGAGATGTCTAATGAGCAATTAAAAGATACAGAGATCAGAATAGGAGACAGGGCTTGGAGGAATACCTGTAGAGGGCACTAATAGTACCATCCACTGGTGTTCTCTTTCAACTAGGTTCCTCCATGGCCATAAAGGCCAGGCCACCAGGAGCGAAGCAGTGAACAGAAAGCTGCTGAGTGTCAAGGAGGTAAAGGGTGCATCAAATTGTTATGGTCCTTCATTGTCCTGGGCCCCACCCTGCTTCTATAAGGTTTCTGGTTTTCAAAGTCACCTCTCTGCTTTGTTAAGAGGAGAAGGCAAGAGCATCCCTGTCAAATGTCCTCCCAGCTCTTCTGAAGCCATTGTCAAGTCTAGAGGATGAGTTTTAGAAACATTCTCAGTAGCATCTGGGGAAGCACTCAATAATCAAATAGATAAATATTTCTTCTGTGAAACATATGAATATTTAAATATAAATAGCCCCATGTAAGTTCGGGCCATGTTTTGCAATCCAATTATTTACGGAAAAAAAATTGCTTTCAGAGATTTATGAATTTTAGAATCTCAGCTGAGTGATTATGATCCTTATTTATATCAATGGTAGAAAAACCAAACAACCCTTTTTTTACTCAATATCATCCCACATTTTTCCATAAAGAATCTCCTCTTTCATTTTTCCTTCTTTTTAAAGGAAATAGTATTCCATTGTATTGATGTACCATAAAGGTATTAATCTATCACCAATGTAGGGATATTCTGATTGTCTCTACCATTTAGCTATTGCTTTTACAGTGTCCATCATCCAAATAATGTACATTGTACCCATTGATTTCTCATCCCTCCCTATCCGCACCCTTCTGAGTTTTCATCGTCTGTCATTCTACACCCCGTGTCCATGGGTACACATTGTTTAGTGCCCACTTATAAGTGAGGACATGTGGTATTTGTCTTTCTGTGTCTGCGTTGTTTCACTTAAAATAATGGCCTTCAGATTCAAGGCTTCAATGAATAACCTTATACGTATGTCCTTTCACTTATGAGTATAACTCAGATAAGTTTCCAGAGGTAGAACTGCAGGGTCCAAGCACATGCACATTTGTGATTTTGATTATTACTATCATAAATATGACTCTCCACAGAGGTGGCATGATTTCAACTCCCACCAGCAGAGAATGGAAAGACCTTTTTCTCCTACTTCCTTCCTGGGCTATTTTCAGCTTGTTTGCTCTCTGCTGCATCTTTCTTCCTCTGCTAGGCTTATTCCTCTGATCTGTGTCTCAATCTCTCCTAACAGCTGAACTCACTCAATAGGTGTCAATGAAAAGAGAATGGGGAACAAGAGGAAGGAAAAGCCATGGCATTTGTACCTGTAGCTAGGTTTCGTCAGATCTGTGGCTTAAACACTTGGGAGTCCTAACAGAGAAAAATTCATTTAAAAATTATGAATTCAAAATTAGGCACAAAAGTAAATAGTTATTTAGCAAACACCTACCTGTACATTTTGACTAGCTTACAAATATCAACTGAGAAAACTTTTAAATTACTATTTTTATTAATTATCTACCAAGCATACCTTTTTAATATCTATTCCTCCTGGGTTTTTGACTGCCTACTCTTTGATCATCTCTTTATATGACAATTATTTTGTGATCTTTGTATAAAGACAATGAAAGTATAATTTAGTCTTTCCTTTATCATTGTTCATAAAAATGTATTTGACTACTGACAGTTTAAAATATTTCATCTTCTCAACTCATTATTCATAATGTCAAGTAAATTTGTAGGATTGTATAAATTTGGGGAGAGCCTCTTTCGAGTTTCTTCTTTACCTGAGCTGAAAAACTGAAGAAAACCTACCCCAGATTAGTTTCTAACTCTGTACATTTTAAACCTTGTTTCTCCTCCATCACTTATAACTATCACTGCCAGCTCTAACTCTTCTCTTCTGTATAATGTCTTCAGATAAGTTAGAGAAGAGGGGGATTCCTAAAAACTATTTATATGAATATTCCAGAAAAGCTAGAAATAAACTAATTATATACATAAGTAACCATAAAACACATAATATTACTCAATAAACCAAAAATAAATCTATACTCAGCTTATCTTCTGTTTAATTTGTGCCTCAAAATGTCCATGGCCATCCCATCAACAGCTGGCATGGGGAAAAATGAAAAAAGAAGTCAAGTAGAAACAGGCAGCAGTCTTAACTGATCACAGTTGCAATGTCTTAATTTAACACATTTTATAAAATCATATGAACATGTAGCCGGGCGCGGTGGCTCACGCCTGTAATCCCAGCACTTTGGGAGGCCGAGGCAGGTGGATCACCTGAGGTCAGGAGATTGAGACCATCCTGGCTAACATGGTGAAACCCTGTTTCTACTAAAAATACAAAAAAAATTAGCCCGGCATGGTGGCGGGCGCCTGTAGTCCCAGCTACTCAGGAGGCTGAGGCAGGAGAATGGCGTGAACCTGGGAGGCGGAGCTTGCAGTGAGCCAAGATTGCGCCACTGCACTCCAGCCTGGGCAACGGAGCAAGACTCCATCTCAAAAAAAAAAAAAAAAAAATCATATGAACATGTGAACACATTGACCAGCCCCTCCCAAGGCCTTAGTGGATGGGCAGTGAGCTCGACCTTCACTGGATCCACTGTCAGTCTGCCTCCTGCCCCTCCCCTCCTTGTCTGGGCAGCATCTCCTGCAGAAGCTGCATCTCCCTCAGGCTGCAGCTCCCGCCAGACAGGTAGACCATGCTCCCAGATTCCACCAGGTAATCATGGCCCCCGAATGCCTGTAACACTGCCTGAGGATGGAAATGGCTTCCCACTATTTCTGACTTCTGTGTTATCTCATTCTCAGATTCTTCATTATACTTGATGGATTTCCTGCATTACACTTTCTATTTTATTTAAAGCATTTTTTGTTCTTCTGCTAAGACTCTAACCAATACTTTTGTTGGTACTAGAAGTGGTCCCAGTAAACAGACTCCCAGATAAGATTCTAGAATGAAATTACTCTCTTGTTTGTGTGTGAACACATCATGACCTCCTTGAAGACAGAAAATGAGACCTTAGTAATGCGGGCATGTAACGCATCACTTGTGGTTGCTTGGGGCTAAATATATGTTAAAATAAAAATTTTAGGGAACCAAATAGTTTCTAACTTGCTACACTTGCCCAGTAAGGAAGTAATGATGATTACGAAGAATATGGAGTGTAATAACTATTTTTGATGGCACTGTAAAGTTTATGAGGAAAAATATTTTAGGAAAAAAGTCTTGTGTTTTTAGAGACCCATCTATGAGCATCAGAAATAAACACTGGCAATCTGAGAGTGTGTCTATGCTGGACAAGCTAAGCTTCAAAATGCCTAAAGCATGCTTACTTCTTTTCTAAGCACAGTAGTTTATTTCATAGGTCACCATATGCTATCATCAACCATAGTTGATTGGACCAAAGGGTAAGCATCTAACCCAAGGTTATCTGAACTTCAGCCAGCCATCTTCTTAAGAAGTGGCTTAGAATTAAAGCATTGCCCAAACAAATAATGACATGCAGAAGCAATCAAATTTACTAGATATTGCACAACATGGTAACTATAGTTAAGAACAATGTGTCGTATTTGGGAAAATTGCTAAAAGTAGATTTTAAGTGTTCTTACCACAAAGATAAATATGTGCAGTAATGCATATGTTAATCAGCTTGATTTAGTAATTCCACAGTGTATACATACTTCGAAATAACCTATTGTATATAATAAACATATATAATTTTTATTTGTCAATTTAACATTAAAAATGCTAAAAACATCATAAAAAATCTGCTAGCAATTTTTTTTGTAGCTTTTGGTGTACAGGTGGCTTTTGGTTACTGGATGAATTATATAATGATGAATTTTGAGATCTGAGTGCACCAGTCACCCAAGCAGTATACACTGTACCCAATATGTAGTCTTTTATCCCTCACCTCCTCCCACTCCCCCACTGCCCAAGTCCCCAAAGACCATTAAATCACTCTGCGTATCTCTGCATCCTTATTCTGCTAGGAATTTGAACTGGAGCTTTGGGGAGATAATCAGTTAGTTATTAGCTGAGGCTTAAACCAAAAGATACTCAGAAAAAGAGAGTCTTCATAATAATGAAAAACTAGAGTTGGGATTCATACATTCTCAAAACAGTAAAACTCATCGCTAGCTCATGAGTGACTGTCTACTTTCTCTTTCCATAAAACTTGATCATTGCAAGTTCATGCTTTTTTGGTAATGACTCGTAATGAAATTTCTTCTGATTTCACATGTGGAGTAGCTGAGTGTTGGATCCCTTATCTTCATTTGCATGGGCCACCATTCTTATAGTAACTTGGGGAAGTCTCCATTCACTACAACCAGAAGAATCCACCTAAAACAATGTCCCATTAAACCTTTTTCTATGTACTTTTATGATTTTTACTACAAAATCAAATCATATGACAGAAATGATATCCCAATTGTTGGATTTAACAATACATTTTAAATATCTTTCTATAACAATAAATGTGTATATGAAGCAACATTTTCAGTGTTTAGAATATCCACTATACGGATCCATGCCTTATTTAACAACTTCCTTTTTTCCCTTTTCTCTTGTTGTTTGCTGTTGGTATAATAAATAATGATGAAATAAAGACACTTGTGTACGTATCTATGTATATTAATCTGAGTACTCCCTTTGGATAAATAACCAGGAGTAAGCCAGCTGGATCGAAGAATATGATCATTTATAAGACTTTTGAATTGTATTGCTAAAATACCCTCCAGAAATTTACTAACAATTGCATTCCCAATAGCATTACACAAGAATGGCCATTTCTATGAAAACAATAAATATGTGCCTTTTTAAAGCCTAAAACCTCACTGTCCTTGAGGAGTGTCCTCAGATGCAGTATAAACATCAAAGGAGCCCTATTATTGAGGGAGCAATTTGGAAGCGAATGGAACTGTTGACCATGAAGGGTTGTCAAATTTTGCAATAATTTGGTGGATGAAACTCGCTGGAGACCCTGCTTTCCAGACACTTTCTAGGAAAAAAAAAAAAAAAAAAAGACAGTATACACTTCCCAGAGTAACCAGAATTTTTGTGGGTTTTGCTTTCCTACATAGTTTGAAAGTTCTAGCAAATATTTACTTTCTTTCCAAGGTATATTTCTAAGTGGGCTAAGAAACAAAATGAGAAACTGTTAATATATGGATACTTCAATAGTGTGAGGATGAATACACCATATATATGAAAACATACATATATATTTGTATAAATAGTATATGTGTGTATGTATATTATATATGGTAAATCTAAGAGGCAGTATGATAAGGGAAGAATGCTGAACTGGTAATCAAAAAAACTAGACCCAGCTCTTTACTAACTCTGTAAACTTTCAAAAATTACTTTATCTTTCGGGATTAGTAAAATAAAGCAGTCAAGCAATAGGACACTTTCCAGCTTTTAATAAGAAATGAATCAGACAATGCATTTTAGAAGATGATTAGAGCTAGGAATTTCTCAAGAGGACACAAAAAGTTTCAATTATTTAATCTGTGATTTTTGAAAATTATGTCTTAAGAAATTGTCACTTCTAGGTGAGCTGACACAAGCCATATGTGATGGCTGACAAGGAGCAAGAACACTGGGTTCAACTCTGTGGTCCCACAGTATTGGCCTTACCCAGTCATGGCTGAAAACTCTTCCTAGTGAGAATCTTGCTGGGAAGACTGCATGAATTCTCAAATCTCCTGTTTGAATTTAGTCCTGAAAATGTTAAAAAGTATGTAAAGAAAGACCCATTCATCTTCCTAAATGAGGAGTCATATGCTGGGAATTAAATTTTTATGCTAAAAGACAAAAAGGTTGACACCATATTTATGATGGCTGGACCATCTTTGGCAGAAACTGTGGAAAAAAATGGAGTAGGAAGTTTGGCAGTCAACAAGCTCATGAAATTCACTAGAGATCAAAACAGTCCTTTTTGGCATTTTAAAGGCTTTCTGCTTATTTTCTGAGGTTATTTAACCCTGCTGCCAATCTCAACTGTGCATGAATATTTTTGTGCCTTTGAAATCACCAGCATAATGGCATATAGATGCTATACAGCGAGAAATATGAAGTTTATAAATATTAATATCAGTCAAGATGCTGTCACACCTTAGACAGGATGGGATCTCCAAAATTAAAATATAAAAAGGATATTCAGTTTTCCCTCCTCTTTTGCTTTGGCTTCGTGCTTAAATGAATGGTGAAGATAAAGAAGTGGACCCTGAAATTTATATCAAGATTCAGGTGTAAGAAATTAAAACTAAAGACCAGTTCAACCCTGGCAATTTAATATACTTCTCTTAAGATCTTTAATACCAAACTTATCAGTTCTCTCTGTTAGGCATTAACTTGTTAAATGAGTCTTAATTATACATAAGCAGATGGAGATTTGAATTAAAATTACCTTACACTCGAGTGGCTTTAGTTCATTATAACATATCTTCCTCTTAATCATTTAGGCAGTCTCATCATCTTTCATATAGAAAGTTATTAAAATATTCCAATTTCCATATTTCTTCAGATACAGCCACTATTAAGTGGTGAGTAATGCACATTAGTAGGTGACTTATACCATCCGAGAGTTGGTGAATTATTCACGTCAGGAACAATTTTTGCACTTTTCTGTCATCTGTAGTATTGTCTTTTAAATACTTTATATTTACTTGATACGTGGAACCTCACCTCATTTAATTTTAAGTACCAATTTTAATTCCATTTTATTTCCAAAGGGATAGAAACAGAGTATCATCAACTTTATTCTGTACTTTGGTTGATCAGAGTCCAGAAAGTAGAGGTGTAGACTCCTATTCCTTGAAGGCATTCAGTGATGAAAGCTAAGTACTTCTTAATCACATCAGCCTTCAAAAAGACTGCCACAACCCTTAAAATGAGCTACAATTTTGCTAAATATCGAGACATAGTAGCAATTGTACTTTTGGCAACTAATATTTCTGGGCCTAACAACTCAATCCAGGGTTTATTCTTCTCCAAAGTTGCTAAGAAAACCCAGCAAGGGTACACCTGGATATTGTTCTAAGGCCAATAACTCCAGGGTACAACAAGGTTAACTTAGGCCAAGTAGTAGCATTTTAGTATTTCTGAAAGTGAGAAATTTACAGCTATCCCTATAAGAACCCTCCTGAGAAAACTTTAAAGCCCGACACTGCCATGCCTTCCTTTAGAAGCAGAAGCCCCCTTGGGCTGTTATTTTACCCAAGTAGTCAATCAGGCTCCAGTAATGTTCTGTTCCAGAGGTGTCACTGGATTTACAGGCAGCAATGAGAGTGGCAGCAGAATCAAACTAGACAACTGACAAGAGTGGAGAGTCCTGAATCTTGGCTGAGTCATCAAGACAAAAGTTCAGTCAGTCTTGCCAAGCATTGTCATATTTTATTTATAAAATGAAGCAAAATATCATCCTTTATGTTTGACAAAACCCAGTATTCAGCACAACTCTTTCTGCATTGTTTAACCTGCGTGAGTGAAGACATGAGTCCCAAACCCACACGTAATTTGAAAGTACAGTAAATTGGGCCTGAGTTACTCAGTGAGTTGTAGTAGCTGCAAATGGGATCCTGGAAATACTGCATGAAAGAAGAGTGATTCTAAGAAATTACTTCTTTTAATGCAAGGAAACTTTTCTCCAACCAGTAGGTGAAAGTTACGTTAATTTTTAATTACACAGTATATTAGCATTTTGATAATTGTAGCCTGCTAATGCATGTTTTTATAGAAATGTAAAGTAAAAAGTATAATCACATCCACACCTTGAAGGCAAACATTGAGAACGTAAGATGTGATAGAAACATTACAACTGTTCTGCTTTGTTGTTTTCTTGAATTTATAAATGCATTTGTGTGTATATACCTTCTGCCAATCCTTGTGGAAATAGAGATACACATTTATTTTCTTTTTTTATTTGTTTATTTCACCTACTGCCACATACTAGTGAGTTACTTGAGAAAAGAATATATAAATATAATGTGCCCTCAAATGCAATTTAAATTGATTAATAATATTTGGAGGCTTTGAAAATTGTCCAACCAGTCTCCCGGTCATGGCTGGTAGATTTAAACATGGTCTCTTCTCTGCTGAAAGCACATACACTATTTGGAATCCTCCAGCCAGCACATGCTCTGGACTCCAACTAATTAAGTTTTCTGCTTGCTGCCGTTGAAAGCGTCAGTCAGGTGCAATTAAAACTGAGCCAATGACAGCAGTGGCATTTGTCAGAATCATCCTGTGGTTCAAATACCAGTTCTGACAGAAATGTCAAACTGATAGCACTCCCATCTTCCCAGTGCATGTTAGGGAAAAGCAGGGAGGACTTTTATTATAAATGCTTGGCTGATAACCTTTTTGAATCCCAGAACACCAAATGCCTCACATGAAATTTCATTATTCTAGAAAAGAATTCGGCTCATAGATGCTTCCTTCCCATGAAGTAAAGCTCAACCTAGCTCAATGGTCTTTACTTCTGTTAGGTCTTTCAGGGAATTTTGAAATAAATAAAGAAAATAACAGATAATCAGGTGGATAGAAGTAGTCTAGTTATAGAGGCATGAAACTCTTAAATGAAAATGGTCTCAGAGTTAAAACTGTTGTTATCAATCAAATTTCTGGATACATTGTTAGATTTGAGCTTTGTCTTCTGTTTTAGTGACAAATACAGTCAAAAACAAGTAAAGACACCATTGCGAGGGAAGAGAGGTCACAAACTCTGGACTCAGATTCTAACCCTCTCTAATTTTATGATTTATTACCTAGCATAGCTCCTGATTGGACTAAGTATATTACTCTGCAATGTTTGATAAGTTAAAGAGCAAATGAATGAGTGAATATCACATTACTTTCGTTTCTAATTCATGAAATGAAAGTAGTCATAGAATTTTAGAGTGAAAGATAACTTTGTAATTACGTATTTTAGGGATGAGAAAGATGAAAAATGGAAAGAAGTTATTTGTACCCCTTCTCTTTCTATATGCATGCATGATAGTGAAGATTGGATAAAGTAACAAACACAGAACACTTTCATCAATCTTATGGTCTAGAAAAAAATTAACATGTTCATGGGCCAAACGATAGCAGATGTGAAGTGCTTAGGGTCAAATATGCTTGAGCTATTGCATCTTAAAGATTTAATATCTACACAAGAAATGTTATGACTGTATAATTTTGTCTAACCTTTTAGCATATTTTCCATTTATATCCCCAAATACAATGTTGTATCCCATGGAAAACATTTTTAAATGCGTACCTTTGCACGTGCATGTAAAATATTCCCTACAGAGGTGGGAAACAGAACAGAGCAAGCTGGAAGGGCACAGAGCTATGACTCAGATAAAAAGTCAAACTGATACCAACAAACCTGGCACTTGGGAGATGCTCAGTAAATACTTGTTGACTAATGAGGAAGAAAAATAAAAACAGTAAACAGGAATTGATTTATAACAAGGCTCAGTAAACCCTTTAGTGTAGAAAGTGAGATCCTAGGTTATAAATGGAAAGAGATAAGTGATGACTAAACTACTCTTCATAGTATAAAAACAGAAAATGTGGAACAGAGGGAGGTTCTGAGTAAAAGGGAGTAGGAAGGGAGACAATGGTCAGAATTATGCGGTAGAAAACAGGGGCCTCTGGCAGAAGGGGGCCAGTGAGAAGATTCTTAGTGACAAACAGATTGGATTACTTTTGAGAACAAGGATCTCTAATAAATAATTTTTCAGACTTTTTGCATTTCTATGCCTGAAACTCCTCAGTCAACCCAAATATCAGTATGTTCTACCGTACGCACTAATAGGAGACATAAAACAAGGGGCCGCATCTAGTTTTGAATAGAACAGAGGAATACTCTCGGGAGGTGAAACATGAATAAGATCGAGAGTTCAGTAGAGGAAGAAGCCCAGACCCAGAAATGTGCATGAAAACATAAACCTCTGGGAACTTATGGAAACATTAGGGCAAGAATGGATTTCTTAAAAATACAGAAGAGTATCGAGTCAATTGTTCATAAACAAGAGCTAGGTGATTTCGTCTAATACTTGATTTTTTTGTTCTCAACAGTTTAATTAATGAATTGAGTAATCATGTAATTCTTTTATGTATTTTTCACATGGTCTTTCATTGAATAGCCCCACACCCAGAATTATTGTTATACATGCTTTTCAAAATATTTTGCAAAAAAAAAAAGCAGTCTTTTAGAATATCGAATATGTTTTTACAAAAACAGTTGAGGAAAGGAAATTCTAATTCCTTTTTCAAATTAGTTTGTGGACACTAAGATAACTAAAATAACACAGGCTGACCTCCCCAATCCAAAAATCCAAAAATCAAAATGCTCCAAAATATGAAATTTTTGTGTGCTAATTAATATGATGCTCAAAGGAAATACTCATTGGAGACTTTTGAATTTTCAGATTTGAGATGCTCAACTGGTATAATGCAAATACCCAACATCTGAAAAAACCCAAAATCTGAAAAAAATCCAAAATCTGAAACACTTTTGGTGGCAAGCATTTTGGATAAGAAGTACTCAACCTGTATGTACCAGAGTCTTCACAGCAGTGTCCCTATAAAAGCCTTAAGTATACTAATTACCAAAAGAAGAGTTATGTTTAACAGTGTTTCCTAAACATATTGGAGCCTGGAACATCTTTAAAAAACTCAACAGTCGTCTTTGAAAAACACTGGTTAGTGTTAACTGGATCAGCCCATGAGAAAGAAGTTAGCCCACTTGGGGCCATAAATGCCTCTGATAACACCTTGAAAGCTTTAGACCCCCCAAAGGCACTCCATTCATACACAAAGAACTACATATACAACTTTGAAGTAGAAGTAGGAGTAGGGAGTAGGAAACCTTGAAATTCAAAAGATTTTTAATAGTCAGAGGATATTCATTATATGTGTATGAGTATTTATCCAATCTGCCACTGATTAACATTTGGATTGTTCTTAGTTTTTATTTATTAAGAATAATACTGTTAAAAACATACTTGTACACATCTTTTGGTGCAGAAATGGATACATTTCTGTTGCAAAAACTAGGAGAGAATTACTGGTTTATAGAGTGTGCATATGTTCAACTTTACTAGATACTGCCAAATAGTTTTTCAAAGCTGTTGAACTCATTCATACTCCCACCAACAGTGACCAGTGTTCCATTATATTCTCCTTGTCAATATCCTGACAACACTTCAATCCCATTTGGTAATGCTAATTTTTGTGATTTTAGCCATTCTGGTAGGTGTATAGAAGTGTATCATGATGGATTTAAGTTTTTATTTTCTTAATGAATAATAAAATTGAGTACTTTTCATATGGTAGATCGTCTTTAATGAGGAGCTTGTTCATTTTTCCTATGTTTCTGTTGAGTTGCCTGTAATTATTTTATTAATCTGTAGAAGTTTTTATATACAATGATAGGAAACTTTTGTTGATATATTTGATTGCACATATCTTTTAGTTATGGATTACCTTTATTCTCTTTCAACAGTGTCTTCTGATGAATAGGCCATATTTATGTAGGCTCTATAAGTAAAATAGGTTCTATTTATATGTAATCTAAATTTATCAATATTTTTCTTCATGGCTTGTGTTTATCAGTACTGTTTAAGAAACTTTTTCATTTCCTATGGTCATGAAGATATTAATCTATGTCATATTCCAGAGCTTTATATTTTTACCTTTCACATTGAGATCTACAATCTGGTATTAATTGCTCTGTACAGTGTGAGCTAGGGACCAACTTTAATATTTTTCTATAATGATATTAAACTGAATGATAATATTTATTGAAAAATATAAACTTTCTCACTTTGAAATCTCAAACTTTTATATATGGGTCAGTTTCAGGACTTTTGTTTCATTGGTCTACTTGTTCATTCTTGTGCCAAGATCATATTATCTTGATAATGTAGCTTTGTGGGTTTTGATATCTAATATATCTAGTAATGTAACATTGCTTTCATTCTTAAGGGTACCTATGGCTTAATTTGCCCATTTTCCTTTTCATAACGATGTTATAATCAGCTCGTCAACTTCCACCAAAAGAAAAAAATCAACCAGGATTTAATTAATATAATGTAATAATCCTTATATAATATAATAATTATATCATTATATAATCATTTACTATAATAATCCTTAATATAATAAGACCTCTTTATAATATCAAACTTTCCAATTCATAAACATGATATATGTAGGTATTTTCAAAAGCTTTTACTGGATTTATTCTGAAATATTTCTTATTTTCAGTGTCTTTTTATAAGATATCATTCTTTAAATTTCGCTTTTGAATGGCATTTTGGTGGTAATGGCAAAACCAATGTATTTTTGTATATTGACCTTATATCCAGTGACCTTGCTAAATTTATTTATTAAGTATAATAGTTATATCACTGATTCTTGTGGATTTTTATGTACATAATCATGATGCTTGCAAATAATGCTAGTTTAATTTCTTACTTTCTATTTACTATCTCTTTTATTATTTTCCTGCTTTTTGCACCAGATAAAACCACTGGTACAATATTGAACAGAAATAAAAAGTCATCTCATTTTGTTCCCAGCCTAAAGGAAAAGCTTTTAATTACTCGCTAAGCAATATGTTTGCTATTGGTTTGTTTTTGTAGGCAACGTTTATCAGATTAGAAGACTTCATATCCTTTTGTATTTTACTAAGATTTTGAAATTATAAATCAGCATTCTACTTCATCAAATGTTTTTTCTGCATATATGGAAATGATCACATCATCTTTCTCATTTTTCTGTTAACATATTACATTAAGTGACTTTCAAATGTCAAATGAACCTTGCATTCCTGAAATAATATCAGCTTGGTCTTGGGTATTATCATATTTATGTATTTCTGATTTTGGTTTTGTAATATCTCACTAGAAATTTTACATCTATATTTATTTTAAAAGATTGCTCTGTAATTGTCACTTCTTACCATGTTCTTAACAGGATTTGGTATGAAAGTTAACTGCTTTCATAAAATGAGTTGAGAAATGTCACCACTTTTTTTATTCTCTGGAATATTTTTGTCTAAAACTAACATTATTTATTTCTCAAATGTCTCATAGAATTCAATAGTGAATACATTTGGCTTTGGAGTTTTCATTGTAGGAAGACTTTTATTTATGGATTTAATTACTTTGATAAATTTAATATTACTTTTTCTCGAGTATGTGTTAACTGTTTTTCTAGGAATTTGTCTACTTCATTTAAATTTTCAAGTGCATTGGTTAAAATGACTTCAAAACATCATACCTTTTAATGTTCATAAGATCTATAGCAATATCCCCTTTCATGTTTCTGATATTGACAATTGGGCTTTCTTTAATTTTTTTTCTTTATCAGTCTTGACATAGATTTATCAATTTTATCATTCTTTTCAAGAAACCAAGCATTTATTTTGTGCTGCTATAACAGAATACCACAGACTGGATAATTAATAATAAACAGAAATTTATTGATTCACAGTTCTGGAGGCTGAGAAGTCCAATATCAAGGTGCAGGCATTTGGCAATGGCCTTCTTGCTGTGTCATCAGATAGCAGAGAAGAGGAGAAAAAGTCTATGCCTGAAAGCCCCTGTGTAAAGACTTCATGGCCTAACCATCTCCTAAAGTTTCCACTTTTTAATACTGTTACAATGACAATTAAATTTCAACATGAGTTTTGCAGGAGGCAAACATTCAAACCATAGCATTCCACCCCGGCCCAAAAACTCATATCCTTCTCACGTACAAAAATACATTCATTCCATCCCAAGGTCCAAAAATCTTAAGTCGTTCAAGCACCAACTCTTAAGTCCAAAGTCCAGAGTCTCATCTAAATCAGATATGCATGAGACTCAGGGTACAACTCATCTTGAGGCAAATTCCTCTGCAGCTGTCAGCCTGTAAAATCAAATAAGTTACCTACTTCCAAATCACAATAGTGGAAAAAAACTATGATAGACATTCCCATTCCAAAACAGACAGGTAGGCAAAGAAAAGGCTGGGGGAGAGTAACTGATCCCAAGCAAGTTTCAAACCCAACAGGGTACACAATATTTAATCTTAAGGCTCCAGAATTATCTTCCTTGACTCCATGTCCCATCTTCTGGACACACTAAAGCAGGGGTAGAGCCCCAAAGGCCTTGAATAGCTTCCCCCACCCATGGATCTGCCAGACTCAGCCCACAGAGCAGCTCTCACAGATTGTAGTCTAAAGCCTCATCATCTTTTAAAGGCCCCACCTCTTACTACTGTTACAATGGCAATTAAACATCAACATGAGTTTTGAAGATGGCAAACATTTACACCATAGCACTAAGTTTGACATTACTGATAACCTCTAATATACATTGATTCCCTTTTCCCTCTTCTTTTGTTATATAACAACCATTGTATTATGATCACAGATTATCTGGGTCAGGAATTCAGAGAGGGCACAATGGGGATGGCATCTCTTTGCTGCACAACGTATAGAGTTCCACTGGGAAGACTCAAAGGATGGGAGGATGAAATAATTTGAATACTGCTGCACTCAGAAGTATAGAAATTGATGTATGCTGTCATCGGGACCCCTACTACAGCTGTCAGTTGTAACACCTACACGTGGCCTCTTTAAATAGCTAGTTTCGACTTCCTTGCAATGTGGCAGCTGGATATCAAGAGCAAGTGTCTCATAAGAACTACATAGAAATTGTACTACCTTAAAAAAACAGCTTTGTGGAGATATAATTCACATACCAAACAGTGATCCATTTAAAGTATACAATTTAATGATTTGCAGTGTAGTCACAGAGTTGTGCAACAATCACCAGGATTAATTTTTGAACATTTTTATCTCTGCAGATAAAGAAAATAATTCCCCATTTTCCCCTAATGCTCCCAGCCCTAGGCAACAACTTATCTTTCTGTATGAATTTGCCTATTCTGGACATTTCATAAAAACAAAATCATATGCTATCTGGTCTTTTAAGTGTGATTTATTTCACTTAGAATAACTTTCTTTAAGCTCTGTTCATGTAATATGTATCAGTACTTAATTTCCTTTTATGTCCATGATATTTATGATATTCCATTGTGATTTTATTTGTTCATTGATTAGTTGATGGACATTTGAGTTGTTTCCAATTTGGGGCTATTTTGAATCATGTTAGTATGGGAGTGGAATTGATGGGCCATATGGCAACTTTGTGTGTAACCTTTTGAGGAACTGTATATCATTTTCTAAAGTGCTTACACCATTTTATTTCTGAACTCTCAATTTTACTCCATTGGTTTCTTTATTTATCTTTATGTCAATATCACGCTCTTGATTATTATAGCTTTGTTTCAGTTTGGAAATCAATAAATGTGAGTCTTCCAACTTTGCTTACAGTATACTGTTTAATTTCCACATATTTGTGAGTTTCCCAAATTTCTTTCTGTTACTGATTTCTAATTACACTCCATTATGACTGGAGGACATATACTGTATGATTTAAATTCTTTTAAATTTATTGACATTTGCTTTACATCCTAGCATGTGGTCTATCCTGGAGAATAGTCTGTGTGCACTTCAGAAGAATGTGTATTCGGTTGTTGGGTGGACTGTCCTATAGATGTCTGTTTAGATCTAGTTGGTTTATAGTGCTTTTCAAGCTCTCTATTTTCCTCCTGTACATTGGTTTTCTATTTTACTAATTTTTGCTACTTTCTATGATTATTTCTGTCCTACTTTTCTTTGTGTTTAATTTGCTTTTCTTCTTGAAATTTCTTAACATGCATGTTTTAAAAAGTTTTTCTCAAGTTATTTTTATTATTGCCCCCTAAGAAACTCTTTAGACATGCTTTTCTTAATTGGCTTCCTTTTCAAATTTAAATACTAAGGATATATTTTATATATATGTACTGTATATCTGCCTGTGCTTCATGTCTGAAAAGAATACGATTTTTTTCACTAATACTAATTTTTGTCCCCCGGATGAAATTACACCAGTTGAAAATCCATGTCTTAGGTTTTACCCATCTTCTTTTACAATATATGTATTTAAGACAATAAACTTTTTTCTTCTTTTTTTCTTTTCTCTGAGACAGAGTCTCGCTCTGTTGCCCAGGCCAGAGTGCAGTGGTGTGATCTCAGCTCACTGCCACCTCCGCCTCCTGGGTTCAAGTGATTCTCCTGCCTCAGCCTCCTGAGTAGTTGGGGCTACAGGCTCCCACCACCGCACCCAGCTAATCTTTGTATATTTTAGTAAAGACAGGGTTTCACCGTGTTGGCCAAACTGGTCTCGAACTCCTGACCTCAGGTGATATACCCACTTCAGCCTCCCAAAGAGCTGGAATTACAGGCATAATAAACTTTCTTCTAAAGATAGCTTTAGCTAGCTGCATTTCACAATTTTTAAAACACCTATTTTCATCATTATTTAGTCAAAATATGTTCTAATTTCTACTGTAATTTCTTCTTTATCAATTTGTTAGAAGTGTGTTACTTAATTTTCAAATATAAAGGGATTTTCTATCTTTGTTCTTCTTGTTGATTTTTAATCTAATTCCACCGTTTCCAAAAAACATACTCTTTATGATTTTAATCCTTTAAAATTTTTTTGAAACTTACTTTGTGGCCCAGAATGTGATCAGTTTTTAATATTTGCCCCTGTTCATTGAAACCATGTTGTTGGGTATAATTTATAATTTTTCTATGTATGTCAATTAGCTCAAATTTGTTAAATATGTGTTCAAGTTTATTATATACTCATCAACCATTTGTGGTCTTGCCCTATCAACTATTGAAAGAAGTGTGTTAAATTTTCCCTCTATGATTGTTATTTTCTTATGACAAACACTAGGTTAATATCTTTAATATATACCAAGCTCATACAAATTTATCAGACCCCAGAAGATAGAGCAAAGGATATGGACAATCCACAAAAGAGGAAATACAGTCGCTTCACATGAAAGATGCTCAACCATGCTATAAATCAATGAAATGCCAATGCTATTTTTTCATTATCAAATTAGCAAATATTTAGCCAGATGATAATTCCAAATACTGGCAAGATGGCCATGTTTATACTTGCTGGTGGCAGTGTAAGTGGATACAAATGCTTCCGGAAACTATTTTGTCAATATGTAGTAAAAGCCTCAAAGGTTTTAATCTTCTTTAATTCAAGAATCCCACCTCTGAGAGTCTATCCTAAGAAAATAACTTGACATTGGGAAAAAGCCTTGTGCACAAAGATATTCATCAATTTATAACTAAAACTTAGTAACAGCATTAGTGATCAGCAACTGGCACAACAGTCCATCTAGTCGATGGAAGACTACACAGCCACTCCAAAATAAAATTAGTAATAACATGGGGAGAGGCCCACAATATGCTCAGTGAAAACAGCTGCACAAAACTGAATCATTACAGAAGACAGCAGCATAACTATGTTAAAACATAATGCAACGAAACTATAGTTGGGGAAAAAAGCCTGAGAGACACCAAAATGTGATATTTTGCTTCCTTCTTTCCTCTACTTTCAAAAATGTATCTAACATGTGGTTTACATGGATAATGAGAAGACCTAGTAGGTCTGGTGCTTGTGTATGGAAGATTATTAATTTTTCTACTTTTACTTCCATCAATTTTGGTTTCACATATCTTGAAGCTAAATTATCGGATCCATACTAATGTAGAATTGTTCTGTGTTTTGGGTGGAATGACACCTTTATGTTCTTCTTATCTACAGTATTTCTAACCTAGGTGTTTACTTTGCTTTATATTATTATAACAATACAAGCCTTCTTTAGTTACTGGATAAAAGGTATATCCTTTTCCATCCCTTTACTTTCAGTGTTTACATAAACTGAATGTAGCTAGATTTTGTTGCTCTATATAGCCTGTTTTATGCAGTTTTATCTTTGATTTTTAATTGAAGTATTACTGATCTACCTGGTTTTAAGTACACAATTTTAATACTTGTTTTCTGTTTGTTGCATTTGTTCTATGTCTCATTTTCACTCCTTCTTGCTTTCATTGGAATAATTTATTATCGTTGTTGTTGTTTTCTTCTCATGTCATATGATTATATTTACTGTTTTATTCCATATTATCTTAAAAGTACAATATACATCACTAACTTATTAACGCTGCTATAATTTACCACTTCCCAAACAATGAAAGGAACTTAGTACTTTTTAACTTCATTTACTCTCTTCCATCTTTGACTTATTGTTTACCTGTATCATTACGGACATCTTAAATGGCCTAAGATATTATTTTATTGTTTTAATCATTACTCATTTAGATTTATCCATGTATTTACCCTCTTCATTACTCTTCATTCTTTCTTACATCTCTCTGTTCCGTTCTAAGATAATTTTCCATTTCCTTTTGTGTTTTCTTTAGTTCAGGTGTGCTGATAAAGAATTCTCTCATTATTATTATTTTAATACGTCTTTATTTTGGCTTCATTTTATAACAACTTAAAATATAGTGGATTAAAAAAAGCTGAACATGTTCAGTTTATAGTGTGCAATTTGATAAGTTTTGACTTATGTAATACACGTGTGAAACTATACCATAATCAAGAGAGTGAATATATCCATCAACCTCAAAAGTTTTCTTGCACCTCAATGGTTAATCTCTCCCTCCTGAAACTCCCAAGCAATCATTAATCTATTCTCTGTCACAATAGTTTACATTTTCTAAAATTTTATGTGCATGGAATTATATAGTATGTAATATCGTTTTTGTTTTGGTCTGGCCTCTCAGTCAATATAATTACTTTAAGACCACCCATTTGTTATAGTTTACTGTATGGATATATTACAAAGTACCCACTTACCTTTCGACAGACACTTGACTTGTTTAGAGTTTAGAGCTAATACAAATAAAACTGCTTTGAACATTTGTGTTTACATCTTTATATAGGCACATGCTTTCACTTTTCTTATGTAATTAGGTGGAAATAGAATGGTTGATTCATATGGGAGGTATACTTTAACTATTTAAAAAATTGTCCAACTTTTCCACAGTGGTTACATCATTTTACTTTTCTACCAGCAGTGTATGAGAGTTCCAATCCCTCCATGTCTTTGCCAACACTTGGTATGGTCAGCTGGTTTAGTTTTAGCCATTCTAGTAGGTTTGTAGAAATATATAATTGTGGTTTTAATGATTACTTCCTAAAAATTAATTGTATTGAGTACCTTTTTATGCAGTAGTCCCCAACCTTCTGGCACCAGGAATCAATTCTGTGGAAGACAATTTTTCCATGTATTCATGAGGGGGCATTGCAGGGAGTGCAGAGTAGGAGGGAGATGGTTTCAGGATGATTCAAGCCCATTACATTTATTGTGCACGTATTTCTATTATTATTACATTGTAATATATAATGAAACAATTATTCAACTCACCAAAATGTATATTCAGTGGGAGCCCTGAGCTTGTTTTCCTGCAACTAGACAGTCCCATCTGGGAGTGATGGGAGACATTGACAGATCATCAGGCATTAGATTCTCATAAGAAGTACACAACCCACATCTCTCACATGTGCAGTTCACAATAGGATTTGCTCCTGTGAGAATCTAATGCTGCTGCTGATCTGACAGGAGGCGGAGCTCAGGTGGCTGTAAATACAGATGAGGCTTCACTCACTTGCCCACCACGCATCCCCTGTTGTGTGGTCTGATTCCTAACAGGCCATGGACCAGCCTTGTTGGGGAACTCTGTTTTTACGTTTTTATTTGTAGTTCATTTATCTTCTTTGGTGAAGAATCTGTTCAAATATTTTGCCCATTCTTTACTGGATAGTTTGTTTTCTTCTCATTAAGTTTTGAGGATCTCCTCTCTCTGCACTGTGGACTGGAAAGTCTCTCAAGGCATTCAGTTGGGGTAATTGCAGTGCTTACCATTGCAGTGCTTACCATATCTGCTTCAAATCTCTCAGACATCATTTTGACTGCCTTCATGGCCAATGCCTTCAAACTTTTGATTTCTTTATTTTTTCCTGTTTTGTGTTTGCTTTAGGTAGGAGGGTAAATCCGTTTCCTATTACTCCATATTGTCTGGAAGCAGAAGTTCATATCTGCTCTGCCCTTTTTTAATGCTGCTTTTGCTGAACATAGAAATCTTTGGCACTTTGAAGATAATATGCATTGTGGTCTGTCTTGCATCATTTCTTTTGATAAGCCTTATTGTTGCTCCTTTAAAGGTATTATAATATTTTCTGACTTCCTTAAACATTTTTAACATTTTTATCTTAGTCTTTTGTATTCAGCAGTATTATTATCATGTATCTGTACGTGGTCTCTCTGTATTTATTCTGTGTTGGGATCACATCACCTCTTGAACCTGTTGCTTCATGTCTTTCATTCATTTGGAAATTTTTCTGACATTATTCCTTCAAATAATAAATATTTCTTCTCTCTCTCTGCCTCTTTCTCTCTCCCCTCCCTCCCTTTCTTCTGTAATTCCAATTACACATATGTTAAGACATCTTGGCATTCCATATGCCTCTAATGCTCTTCCCTGACATTTCTAATCCATTGTCTTTCTGTGCTTTAGTCAGGATATTTTCTTTTGATCTGTATTTCAGTTCAACAGTATTTTCTCCAACTAAATCTAATCTGTAGTTAAATATACCCATAAATCTGTTGATTTTAGGTATTTGTCAGTTCTAGAATTTCCATTTGAGTCTGAGGAGTGTATTTCTACTCTCTTCTGAAATTCTATATCTTACCATGTAATTTCATGAATGTATATTAATCACACTCACTTTAAGTCTAACTACACAGGGATATGTTTTGAGAAATGTGCCATTAGGTGATTTTGTCACATAAACCTCATGGAGTGTACTTATACAAACCTAGATGGTATAACCTACTACACATCCAGGCTACATAGCATAGCTTATTTCTCCTAAGCTACAAACCTATATAGCATGTGACTGCACTGATTATTATAGGCAATTATAAAACAGTGGTAAGTATTTTTGTATCTAAACATAGAAAAGGTACAGTAAAAATGCAATATAAAATATGTAAAAAATAGTATACCTGTATAGGGCATTTACCATGAATGGAGCTTGCAGGACTGAAAATTACTCTAAGTGAGTCACGGAGTCAGTGGTCAGTGAACGTGAAGGCCCAGAACACTATACTACCGTAGATTTTATAAACACTGTCTACTTAGGATACACTAAATTTATTTTAAAAATTGCACTATGACGCTACAACATTATGATGGCTACAACATCACTAGGTAATAAAAATTGTTCAGCTCCATTTTAATCCTATGAGATCAACATCATATATGCTGTCCATTGTTGACTGAAATATTGTTATGTGGTGCATGAATGTACTTCAATAGTTGCATTAACTGTGGACCTGTTTCCATTTTATTCCTCTTGGTTCTGGGTGAATTTTTATCTTCTCTACCTTGTTATTTTTTATTCTGAGCAGTAGACTTTTTTATGAGAAAATATTGAAAGAACTTGAGGCTCTGGATGATGTTATAATCCTCCAGAGAACATTTACTTTTGCTTCTTGAAGAAAGTTAGTTTGGAGGAAGATCACAAATCAATCATGAATTGAGTTGCTTCAAAGCTGGGTACCTTATCCCTATTTTCCTCTCATTCTATACATTCTCATCAGAAATATTTATTAATTTTTTGAATTAATTCCATGAATTCTAAAAATCTGATAAGGTGGTTCAGATGCTGGGCAATTAAAAAGAATGACAAGTGCCCACCTAGTTTGCGACCTCAAAAATGTAATGTCTAGGAAAGTATCAGTTCTATCAAATTTCATGCACATGTCTATTTAAATTTCTAGAAAACTAATTTGACCTGTTCAGAAATAGCTGAACAATGATAGTCTAATAACCTGGCATATTTATCAAATGTATGATTCTAGATTTTATGCCATAGGTGTGATGAATGAGCTCCTTGTCATTTTTTTCTAATTGTGGCCTTCAGGTGATACAGTTGAAACAAATAAAATATACATTTTTTTCCGAACAAAAAGTGAAAGACTATCAATAAAACCTAGAGCACTGGATACTACTATTTGAGGAGAGATATGAACTCACTTTTGGAGCCAATGAAAGCTACAGACTCCCTCCCAAATGGAATTGTAGAGAACCCATTTACATGCAAAATTTTGTGTACAGTTTTAGCATGCTTGGGTCCCAACTGAAGATCATGAGTGAATCTATTGCTAAGAATTCCTTCTCTAGAACAAAAAAACAGTTTTTTATTTTTTAAGCAAAAAGAAAAATGTGTAACATTGACGTTTCAAGAAACGCTTTCTCATTCAACACTTTTCAATCATGTAGGTCATAGAAACCACATTGCATATGTTTGCCTTTTTTTCTTTATCAGAGAAGTGAGAGTCACTAATAAGAAAGGGAAAAACTTATATAACCTTTAAATCACAAAATATACTAAGAGCAAACACTAAATCTGTGAACACACAGAAGAAGAGGTGCCTGTCTCCAGCAAGTAGATTTCAGAGAAGAACTGGAGGCCAGCAGCCCATGCCATAAGCCACAGTGACAAACAATGGACATATATATGGCTGTGTCACGCTCATAGTCAGATTTGTTAGGTCCACACAGTAATTAAAACATTTATATTAGTTGTCAACACTTAGAAATTGGGAGATTTCTTTTTTTTTCTTTTCCTTTTTTTTTTTTTTTTTTTTTTTGAGACAGAGTCTCTCTCTGTCTCCCTGGCTAGAGTGCAGTGGCACGATCTTTGCTCACTACCACCTCCACCTCCTGGGTTCAAACGATCCTCGTGCCTCAGCTTCCCAAGTAGCTGGGATTACAAGCATGTGCCAACATGCTCAGCTAATTTTCTTTTATTTTCTTTTTTCTTTCTTTTTTTTGGGGGGGTGGGGGCGGTATTTTTAGTAGAGAGACTGGGTTTCATCATGTTGGCTAGGCTGGTCTCAAACTCCTGGCCTCAAGTGATCTACCTGCCTCGGCCTCCCAAAGTGCTGGGATTACAGGTGTAAGCCACTGCCTGGCCAGGAGATTTCATATTAAAGTACTTTTTTCTGTCCCCTCTTTAAACGTCAAGAGATACAGACACAGTTGGCCCATATCTCTATGTTGCAATAATCAGCCTGGGATGAATAGCCACTTCCTGTTCTCCCAGTTCATTACAATCCTCAGAAGCACCTACTTCTCTGTTTCACTGATTTCTAGTACATGGTTGACTTCTGTAGGCATTAGAGCTTGTGATTCATGGTGGTCAGCCCTCAAATAAATGAATGTTGACCCAGTGTCGTGGAACGCTCCCTGCTGAGTGAGCCTGCTTTCCCCATTTCCTTCTATCTTAGAAAATTACACCTGGCTTCTCAAGGGGAGATTCCAAACTCATCCCATTCTCTCTGAATGCATCTCCACTCAATTTTTTCCAGATAACTTCCAGCTGACCTCTTCCCACACTCTTCTAAGGAACAAAGTTTCTTGAAAGGATGAAGGAGAAAGGACTGTGCCTGGAATGCTAACCTCACAGTTAACAACCTCTGTAGCATTCCCATTTCCCCACACCACTTTTTCTTTTCTGGTTTTTTTTTGGGGTTTTTTTGTTTTGTTTTGCTTTTTTAATTTTGACCTTCATTAGAAAGGTCATTGAAATACTTAGTGCTGAAAGCTATATCTGAAAAGACTGTATTTCTTAGTGAAAATGTCTTGGAGATCATCGTTAGTATTTGTGGCAGAGCTAGGTCAAAATTAACATATTACAACAGCTTGTGTCAGTCTGGGTTACGAACTTTCCATAAGAAAGTGTAGGCCGAAAGGTCACACTCATTAGCTCATACCACAGAGAACTGCAGAATCCTAAAAGACAATTTCTTCTCTTTATAAATAAACAAGACTGATTTCCTCTTGCTCCAACCACCACCCCTTCTTACCCATACGTATGACTTGCAAGCACACTACTCACCCACACTTCACAGCTATAATTTCTCTGTCATCCGTTTCTGTAAATTTGGTTTCCTTGAGTCAGTTCCCAGATTGCTTATATACGATATACGCATTACATCATCCTACTTTTTCAGTTGCCTATACTCTTGTGAAAATGCATATTTAAATCCTTAATAAGCCACTAGCCCAGACCCCAACAATGACTGCAATTAATAACAGAGTTCTCGCTCGCAATTCATCTTGTGTGACCTGTGCCAGTGGTATGATTTGTTAGTCATGAAACTTCTTTAACCTACCTCCATTATGCAAATACAACAGGAAACGCGCTCTTCTGTTTCAGTTGCTGAAGTGTAGGCTGTGATCCTGTGTTGTACACTCCAGCTCACAGCCCACGGGAGGGACGCCAGAGTGTGGTAGGCACCAGTTGCTGCAGAGAGAGATGCTCAATGGACTCTGCACTCAGTTAGAACGACAAGCCTGATGTGGCCATGCATTCAGCATGACGTCAAAATGACAGGTTATGTTCTGTTACGTGTCCGCTGGTATCAGCTGTATTGATCCTGAGGTTGGTGAATGAAAGATGCCCTCACTTTACCACTAATGCTGATTGCACTAACCTTGCACTAATCTTTCTAGGTGAGAGTTCAGATTCTCTGAGAGCCAAGCTGTATCCTCAGAGAAAAAAAGATGAGGAGAATTTAAAGCACTTGGCCAAGGGCCTGGGTTTTTCCTCTTCTCTGCTGACCCCAACATCACCAACATAGAACATGTCAGCTCCTTCAGTTATTAGACAGCCAGCTCTGAAAGGTGCAGAAACTAAAAAGCATTTCTAACTATAGGAGTCTCAGAGTATTTCAGAGCTTCATGTCACCAGAAACACTATTTGCTTAGGCTACCCCAAGGAGAGCCACTTGATTTTGCAAGAGGCTATCTTTTTCAATGGGTCCTGTCCTTTCTCTACCCTTTGTCACAAACCACCATCAATTCCTATATTATAATTCCTGTGTCTCTAAATCAATTTCTCTCTCTCTCCCTCCCTCCTTCTCTTTCTGCCTCCTTCTTTACAAAGCATGCTGTCTTTCAATTAACATAGTGATGACCTATTGTCACCCGTTACCATGCTAATCCTGAGCTGGTGTGAAATTACTTTATAATAAACACTATGGAGCTGTGACTTTCAATTAATTTTTCACATGCTGCGCTAAATCAGATTAACGCTCCCCGCCGCCACCACCCTTTGACCACAGACGTAATTCCTTCTTTATAATGAAATGGAGGATTAATTTATATGAAGCATATCTGTACACATTTGCAAATAAATGTAAGGATAGACTTTGTGCCATATTTGCATTGTGCACTGTCTCAGGTTTAATACAGACTCTCTGAGATGATTAATTTTTTGTGTTCACTGGGGTGGGGAAAGATATTTCCAGCTGTTGTTGTTTCTCTGTTAAATTCTAACTAAATGCCTCCACAAAGAATAAGCAAAGAAATGCTCACATATGCCGCAATGCTGAGAGAGTGGTGACTTCTTTCCTAAATCTCACAATGCCGCATTAGAAGAAGCTGAAGGAAAATGTAAACACTCTGAAATGGAAACAGTGAGCATTAACTGCTAAATTGATTGTTGTTTTCCCTGGATGTGCACCTTCACATTCATCCTGAATGAATGGAGGGGAGGGGGTAGAGTAGCTTTTTAAATGACCATTAAATGGAAGGAATTTGATGACAATTTCAAGCGAGTGATGGCTCATGCCTTTTTAAAACTCATATAGGCCCTGCACTAAATTATCTTTTTGGTGAAATAATTATTTTCATCTTTGAAACTCATTATTAGAATGGAGTGATGGAAGATGGAGGTAGGTACACACTAAATGAATAAATTTGTGTTTAAAAAAGTTAATCATATGACTCAGATGCTAGGCTATATATTTTTTTCTGTCAGTCTCCAGTGTATTTCATTCAGCTTCTTTTATTACTACAAAATATTGATAGAAAAATTTCTCCAACACATAATTCCTTTATGACATGAAATAAGAAAAACTGCCAGGAGAACTAAAGGTATGGTGCATATAAAAGATAAATATGTACTCATCAAGTCCTTAAAAGCAATCTTTTATTAACAATAGAAGAAATAAAATCTTGCTCAATGTTGCAATAATGAAAACCTTGTACCATGAGTTATTTTAAGGCACACTAAGCAAATTATGCTTGGTGAACACTGGAAATTTATTGATTCATTCATTCAACAGACATTTATTTAATGGCTGCTGTATTCTAACCACTAGTCTAAGTACAACTGATAAAACAGCCCAGACAGGTAGACTCTTCCTCCCACATGGAGATTCCCATCTAGGGGGATGTGCATTTGAAATGGTAAAGGCAGTTCATCACCGTACTCATTTAAGAATTTCTTACTAGAGACCACGACTGTACCAAATGTCTTCTATGTATAATCATATATTTCAATCCTCCTGTTTACCTTCCTGCTAAGTTATTATCACACATATTTAAACATGAATAGCTAAAGCTTAAAATAAGCTAAGTAATTTGTCCAAGGTCCTGCTGATATAAAGTGGCAGAGCTAGAATCCAAAATTCAGCTTTTGGGACTAAAAATCCTGTGCTTTTATTCACTATGCTATATTGCTGATGTTGTTCATTCTCTCAAAAGCATGCATATCAAAGGGAAATAAGTCAGAAACAAGGTCAAATAACATATTCTCACTTTAAGTGGGAGCTAAATAATGCTTACCCATGGATATAGACAGTGGAATAATAGACATTGGAGACTCCAAAAGGTGGGAGGATGGTGGGTGTCAGGGATGAAAAATTACCTATTGGGTGCAATGTACACTATTCAGGTGATGGTAAGACTAAAAACATAAACTTTATCACCACGCAATATATCCATGTAACAAAACTGCACTTTACACCCGCTAAAAAGCATATATCATCATTTTCTATTTGGCCAAATTTTATTTTTTACACAATGGTGGGCAAAATAGAAGCAGAAGGCACAATCCATGACCTAAGGAGATTTCTGGTCTATTCAGAGAAATGTATGCATTTGTAAAACAACTATTATTTAAATTTCTTTTGTGCAGATAAGTTTATAGGCCATAGACATGCAATGGGCATGTCATGGGGGAAGGGGACAGAATTATTTTCTGACATTAATCTCTGTTGAATAATATATTCAACATCTATGACTTTATGTATTATAAAGTGCATTATTAATTTAACAGAAGATTTTAAAGAAATATTGAAATAATAACACATTAAATATGTCCATTATATGCTATACGATGTGTCCTAATGTCGGTTTCATGGAATTGTGAAAAGATTAAATTTTTACAATATTGCATACCATAGTGTAAGAACAATTCATTCCTTAAAGGTTTAAAAGACTTCACTTTGAAACTGTATGGACACTAAGGCACAATTTAAAAGAGAATCTTCTGGACCACTGATAATTTCTGTCATGGTATTATTATTTTTTGTTATTTATGTTTTCCTAGATATTCATCCAATTCATCTAAGTTTTGAAATATTATCATAAATGCAATTTAAAAACTTTATAAATTTATTTAATCCTGATATCTGCAGTTATTTCTAATTTAAAATGCCTTTTTTTTCCATTTTTATTTCCTCTCTTTTCACTTGATTGGGCTCCCTTTATCTCCCTGCTTATTTTTTCTATCTTTCTTCTTTATGGTTTCCTAAAGAATCATTTTATTCAAACAGCCAATACTTACATTTGTTTCTCGATGCTATTTATTAATTCATTTATTTTTGCTTTTATGCTCATTAATTCTAACTGCTTTGCATAGGTATATTTTTCTTTCTTTTATAATTTCTTGAGTTGAATAATAATGTGTAATTTGTCCTTTCTAAAATACTGTGAATTTTCCTTCAGTACAGCTTGCTTGATCTCATCATTATTTTCCCAAATATTCCATATTTAAGAAATTTTGAGTTTTTCCTATACCTAAGGATTTTTTAGAATGTTTTCCAAATAATTCAGCTTTTCTCTCTTTATACTTTCAGTATCAATTTCCAATTTTAATATAATGCACTTCGGAATGTTGTCTAATAGCTGGCCAAGGAGATACTTGTAATAAAATGCATTTGCTGTTTGTATAGTATAAAATTTGATTATCTATTAAAACAAGATTATTTTGTCAGTCTATTTCCATTGCTATAAAGGAATAACCTGAGAGTGGGCAATTTATAAAGAGAAGAGGTTTAATTGGATCACAGTCTACAGGCTGCACAAGCATCCGCTCAGCTTCTAGAGAGGACCTCAGGAAGCTTACAATCATAGCAGAAAGCAGTGAAGGGCCAGCATGTCACAGGGCAAGAGTGGGAGCAAGAGAGAGTGGGGAGACACCACACTCCTTTAAACAACTAGATTTCACATGAACTCACTGAATGAGAACTCACTCGTCACCAAGATGATGGCACTAAGCCATTCATAAGGGATCCGCCCCCATAATCCAATACCTCCCACAGGCCCCACTTCCAACACTGGAGGTCACATTTCAACATGAGATTTGGAGGGGACTAACATCCAAACCATATCAACTGTCATTCAGATTATCCATGCTCTAGTTAGTCCTTGAACGTTTTATCTGAAAGTAACTGAGAAAATTGTATAAGATCTTCTAATGTCATTATAGTTCTGTTAATTACTTTTGTTGTTGTAGTTTCTGCTTTTAAATTTCAATGATATTATTCAGGATTTAAATGTTTGTGGTAGTGTGTCTTCAGCACTAAAACTGACACTTCGGTCTTATTTAATAAGTCAACATAATGGAATATTGAACGTGATATTGTTTGTAACAGAAATAAATTTGAGACAACCTGAAGGTCCATCAATAAGGGACTAGTTAAATTTTATATATATATATATATATATATCCATTAATTCAACCAAGTATTTATATTCATTGAAAATAATGAAGAAACCCTATATGTACTTACACATAACAATCTTAAAAAAATTTTTCTACATGAATAAGCAAGGTGCAGAATAACGTGTAGATTCTGTTATCATACATTATCAGGTCCACAGAAGGCAGTTTGCCACAGTAGTAAGAACCCAGCTTCTGAAGTGAGTGTGATTGAACCAAATTTGGTTCCAATTTCCAGTAACTGTGACCTAGGACAAGTTATTTAATGTCTCTGTATCCTCGCTTGTGAAATGGGAGTAAGAATTAAGTATCTATCTGGAGTTTGGGGGAGTATTAAATTAACTAGTACAAGAAAAGTATCTAAAACACTGCTTTACACCAGTGGTCAATACATGTTAGTTGATTAACATTTAAAGCCAAAAAAAAAAAAAGACGAAGAAAAGGAAAAAATTCATATACAAATGAGTAGATAGGTAGATATAGATAGATAGATACGGTTTGGCTCTCTGTCCCCACCCAAATCTCATGTCAACTTGTAATTCCCAGTGTTGGAGGAGGGGCCTGGTGGTAGGTGCTTAGATCATGGGGGTGGATTTTCCCCTTACTGTTCTCATGATCGTGAGTGAGTTCTCACAAGCTCTGGTTGTTTAAAAGTGTGTAGCACTTCCCCCTTCACTCTCTCTGTTCCTCCTGCTCTACCATGTGAAGAAGGTGCGCTTGTTTGCTTCCCCTTCACCCTTCCACCATGACGGTAACTTTCCTGAGGAATCCCCAACTATGCTCCCTGTACAGCCTGTGGAACTGTGAGTCAAATAAACCTCTTTTCTTCATAAATTACCCAGTTTCAGATACATCTTTATAGCAGTGTGATAATGGACTAATACAAAGAATTGGTAGTAGGAAAGTGAGGCATTGCGATAAACATGCCTGAAAATATTGGGAGCAGCCTTGGAACTGGGCAATGAGCAGAGGTTGGAACAGTTTGGAGGGCTCAGAAGCAGACAGGAAGATGAGGGAAGGTTTAGAACTTCCTAGAGACTTGTTGAACAGTTTTGACCAAAATGCTGATAGTGATATGTACAGAAAAGTCCAGGCTGAGATAGTCTCAAATGGAAACGAGTAAATCAAAGGCTTCAGGTGGCAACACGTGTGTGTGCATGTTACTTAAATGCACACATGTATGTGTCTACCCCTAATACTTAAGTGCATACATGCATATAAATATATCGATATGTGCTTCCATTTAAGGATAAGTCATTTAACTCACGCAACGGTCCACTAGACTCAATTTTTTGATATCTGAAACCCTGTACTTTTCAGCAACTGTCATGATGCCTGGTACACAGTAGGTACTCAAGAAATGTTTCCTGAATGAATGAATGAATGGACACTGTAGAATAGGTGTTAAAACCCTGATGCTCAAGATGTGGCTCTCCCAGTATCAAGGAGTTAGTAAAATATATTTCTGATGGGATTTTCTTCTTCATTTCCTTTTTATTCAAAGTCCTCCTTGGACCAGAAGTATCAATATCACTTGGGAGTCTATTAGAGATGCAGAATCTCTGGCCCTACCCCACATATACTGATACTGAATCTTCATTTTAACCAGATCCCCAGATGAAGTGTATGTAGCTGAAAGTTGGAGAAGCACTGTGCTATTGTGCCCTATGTCTTAGAAAAATGAGAAGGTGAGCTAGAGCGTTCTGGAGGTTTGTGAAGGAAAAATGAAGAATTAAGGTGGAGACATGAATGGGAAGCATTTTGGGGAAGGCTGTGAATACAAGGCTGAGGAATTCATCTTAAAAACCAGGGTTTCCAAAGGAGGAATCTTTGGATTCCAAGGGGGAAAATAGGCAAGCAATCCACTGGGCTATGAGGAAAAAATTTTCAAACTCATTAATATGTAATTTTTATCTAAAAACAAGAAAGAATTGACTTTACTAATAGTTGTTCTATTTAATGTTCAGCCACACCCATTCCTACACCACTCATTAGGTTACAATTCAGATAGGTATCATGGGAAACACAATTCCAGCAGCCCACAGTGGCATCCCTCCCTCTCCCCAACTCCTCCCCACACCTTGTGCACACTACTGGGTATCAAACTATAGGTAGACTTACTTAAGAAAACCCTTGTCTTAATCATGTTGTTTTAATTAAAAGAGCCTTCACAAAATGAACAAGTGGTCTTAAATTATTCCTGAGCAAGAGCACGCTCATGTACATATATGTGTGTACACATGTGCTCTCACACACATTGGATACAGGGTTAAAAATGCAAGCACATGTGAACAAGAAAATGGCAGAGATAATTCTTCTCTTGCATCTGATAAAAGGTGTTAGCCACATTACAAGGGAAAAACAATGACGGTCTCACCAAATCTGACAAGAAGGCAGCCAACAAGTGAATAATGTAAATGCTTTTCAAAAGAGGCTTATGTTATGAAGTCAGCGTGTCAAAAATGGATGCCTGGAAGTATTTCCATGGATTGTGTTTTTGTTGACAATAATAATGTAAGTATATATTCTATAAAAAATGCTTGCATATCTGCATATTTAAAACTGTTGGAGAAAAATGTATAACCTAAAAAAAAATCTTCTAAATAGAATTACATTGAGTTTAAACAAATGTAAAAATGCAACACCTTCTGTTTAGTTTGCAAAAACAACTGACTGACATAAGGGAAGATGCAAATGTATGAGCTGGCTTTAAGCAAAAACCTTGGCTTCACTGTTGGTTGGGATTGAATAATGAGTATTGTGATTTAGTAAGTGTAACCCATCTTGAACTTCAGTTTAGATGTAAATATCTTTGTGAGGTATCTTTCTCAAATGTGACATGTAATAACACCAAGTACTTAAATCAGCTGAATTTAGAAATCACCATGACTCGTAAATAAACCAAAAATTTAAAAAATAATAAAATCTATCCAACCATGTTTTTCTCACCAAATATATTGCAAGGGCTAATAAGTTTTATACTATTAATAAATGTTAATGTATTTAAATATTTACTTTCTCTACATCAGCATGTCCTCATATTTGTTTTTGTGTATAATTTATAATGCTTGCTGTTATAACTTACAATATGTCACCTTATTTTAGCAAATATAAGTTGTAATCAATTGAAATAGGTAATATAATTGTATGTTCCACTAAGAAAGATAAGAATACTATAATTATAATGCCACTAATTGTTTAAAGGCATCAGGTTTCTCAGAGGTTAAAATCTGGTGGAGGGGTAGTACAACTAGAATAATTATGATTAAGTTTGGCTGCTAATAAAACAAAAACAGCAGTGGCCTTAGCAACATCAGAGTCTTTCTCTTTCCTATAAAACTCTGGAGATATGCAGTTCGGGCCTGGTAGGGGGATGCTACTTTGCAAAGATGTCAGTGAACCAAGTTTTTCCATCTCTCTGCTCTGCCATCTCTACAGTGTGGTACAAAGTGAAATCTAAAAAAATGAGAAGTGAAAGATAAATGCCAGTTCTTCCTTAAGGAAGGAAGGAAGGTTGCAGAATTTCCCTTACACTTCCATTTACATCCCATTGGCCAGAATCTGGCTGTACAACCAGGCACAAGTGCAAAGGAGGCAGAGGAGTGTAGTGTTTCTCTAGGTGGTCATGGTGCCAACTACACTAGCTTAGGATAGGAAAATATCAGATATTGGAAGACGTCCATATGTCTATCCATGATACATAATAACTAGCACAGGAATGCACATGTTATGGTTCGGCTGTGTCCCCACCCAAATCTTATCTTGAATTGTAACTCCCACAATTCCCATGTGTTGTGGGAGGAACCTGGTGGGAGTTGAATCATGGGGGTGGGTCTTTCCCGTGCTGTTCCTGTGATAGTGAATAAGTCTCACGAGATCTGATGGTTTTAAAAATGGGAGTTTCCCTGCACAAGCGCTCTCTCTTTGTCTGTTGCAATCCATGTAAGATGCGACTTGTTTCTCCTTGCCTTCCACCATGATTGTGAGGCTTCCCCAGCCACTTGGAACTGTAAGTCTATTAAACCTCTTTCTTTTGTAAATTTTCCAGTCTTGGGTAGGTCTTTATCAGCAGCATGAAAATGGACTAATACAGTAAATTGGTACCAGTAGAGGGGGGTGTTGCTGAAAATACACCCAAAAATGTGGAAGGGACTTTGGAACTGGGTAACAGGAAGAGACTGGAACAGTTTAGAGGACTCAGAAGAAGACAGGAAAATGTGAGAAAGTTTGGAACTTCCTAGAGACTTGTTGAATGGCCAAAAGCCTGATAGTGATATGGATAATAAGGTCCAGGCTGAGGTGGTCTCAAATGGGGATGAGGAACTTGTTGGGAACTAGAGCAAAGGTGACTCTTGTTATGTTTTAGCAAAGAAACTGGAGGCATTTTGACCCTGCCCTAGAGATTTGTGGAACTTTGAACTTTAGAGAGATGATTTAGGGTATCTGGCAGAAGAAATTTCTAAGCAGCAAAGCACTCAGGATGTGACCTGAGTGCTGTTAAAGGCATTCAGTTTTAAAAGAGAAACAGCACATAAAACTTTGGAAAATTTGCAGCCTGACAATGTGATAGAAAAGAAAATACCATTTTCTGAGGAGAAATTCAAGCCAGCTGCAGAAATTTGCATAAGTAACGAGGAGCTGAATGTTAATCACCAAGACAATGGGGAAAATGTCTCCAGGGCTTGTTAGAGACCTTTGTGGCAGCCCCTCCCACCACAGGCCCTGAGGTTTAGGAAGAAAATATGGTTGTATGGGCCGGGCCCAGGGTCCCTCTGCTGCGTGCAGAGGGACTTGGTGCCCTGCATCCCATCTGCTCCAGTGATGATTAAAAGGGGCCAACTGTATGCTCAGGCTGTTGCTTCAGAGGGTGGAAGCCCCAAGCCTTGGCAGCTTCTATGTGGTGTTGAGCCTGAGGGTGCACAGAAGTCAAGAATTGGGGTTTAGGAACCTCCACCTAGATTTCAGAGGTTGTATGGAAACGCCCAGATGCCCAGGCAGAAGTTTGCTACACGGGCAGGGCCCTCATGGAGAACCTCTGCTAAGGCAGTGCATAAGGGAAATGTGGGGTTGAGCCCCCACCCAGATTCCCTACTGGGGCACCACCTAGTGGAGCTGCGAGAAGAGGGCCACTGTCCTCTAGACCCCAAAATTGTTGATGTGCCAACAGCTTGCACCGTGCACCTGGAAAAGCTGCAGACACTCAACACCAGCCTGTGAAAGCAGCCAGGAGAGGGGCTATACCCTGCAAAGCCAAAGGGGCAGAGCTGCCCAAGGCCACGGGAGCCCACCTCTTGCATCAGCATGACCTGGATGTGAGACATGGAGATCATTTTGGAGCTTTAAGATTTGACTGCCCTGCTGGATTTCAGACTTGCGTAGAGCCTGTAACCCCTTTGTTTTGGCCAATTTCTCCCATTTGAAATGGCTGTATTTACCCAATGCATATACCCCCATTGTATCTAGGAAGTAATTAACTTGCTTTTGATTTTACAGGCTTATAGGCAGAAGGGACCTGCCTTGTCTCAGATGAGACTTTGGACTGTGGACTTTTGGATTAATGCTGAAATGAGTTAAGAATTTGGGGGACTGTTGGGAAGGCATGATCAGTTTTGAAATGTAAAAATGACATGAGATTTTGGAGGGGCCAGGGATAAAATGATAAAATGATATGGTTTGGTTGTATCCCCACCCAAATAACATCTTGAATTGTAACTCCCACAATTCCCACGTGACATGGGAGGAAGCTGGTGGGGGGTAATTGAATCATAGGAGTGGGTCTTTCTCGTGCTGTTCTCATGATAGTGAATAAGCCTCGCAAGATCTGATGGTTTTAAAAATGGGAGTTTCCCTGCACACGCGCTCTCTTTGCCTACTGCCAACCATGTAAGACGTGACTTGCTTCTCCTTGCCTTCCATGATGACTGTGAGACCTCCCCAGCCACGTGGAACTGTAAGTCCACTAAACCTCTTTTTCTTCCCAGTCTCGGTTATGTCTTTATTAGCAGCATGAAAACAGGCTAATATGGCACGTATATAGTTTACACATAAATAAATACAGAGAAGATGCATGCATATAATTTATTTTGTGGATGCAGGTTTGGAGATAGCTACTGTAGAAAATCATTCTTAAGACCAATGAGTATCTTACTTTGGGTTCCCTGGAAGCAGGGCCTGAGATGGGAATTTTTGTTCAAGTGACTTACTGAGAGAGATTGCTCTCAGAAGAAGGGATGTGAGAAGCAGGATGGAGCATGGAGAAAAAGCCAAGCAAAAATATGGGGTCAAATGGAGTCTAGCAAGAGTCTGCTCCCTCAGGAACCACTGGAAACAGATTCCACCAGAATAGTCCCCATCTTGAGAAAAGGGGAAGGTGTTTTGTGTACCTGATTGGATCTGTTATTGGGCAAAGAATAAGGGGCAGTAATCTCTGAGGCCTGCCAGCTCCTATTTGGCCCAAAGGGCTTCTCTAGAGAGGGGCAGTATGAGCTGTCTGCAGCAGACATTCACAACAGCTGAGGGATGTCCACTGGTCTCGCTGACCCCATCAACTGATGATCTTCCTTTAATCAAATACATAATACTGTGTATTGCCTTCCTCATTCATTTGCTTTGTTTATTAATTTCATCATTCATTCATTAATTCATTAAGAATCTGCTATGAGCTAGGTGCTAAAAATATAAGAATTGTCTAAGCTGGCTAAGCATTATTCACAGCCTCCTCCTACACAGGGACAAAGCTTCAGGTGCTCTATCAAATGGTCCTGTTGTTGAGTGTCAGTCCTCTGGGGAACCTTTTGCACCTCTGTTACCTGCTCACTTTATCTCATTTGAAATTCTTGGTCCCAAACTATGGTTTTCCCCTGTCTACCAACAATCAAGAAAAGGTGAGCAGTACCACATGCTGGCTGGATGTTGTGCCTGTACCTCAAAGCCTAACGAATCTGTGTGTTAATCATGGCTTTGTGATTCAGATTCATCTGCAAAGTGGGATTAATAAAATATTAGGTTATTTGTTTGTGTGGAGAATTAAACTAAATTATATATATCATTTATAAAATATATTATATATGTATATTATATATTTTTGAGACTGGCTTTCACTCTGCTGCCCAGGCTGAAGTGCAGTGGCATGATTATGGCTCACTGCAGCCTCAAACTCTTGGGCTCAAGTGATCCTCTGGCCTCAGCCTCCTGAGTAGCTGGGATTACAAGTGCATGTAACCACACTCTGCCTTTTTTTTTTTCTAGAGACAGGGCCTCACTATGTTGCCCAGGCTGGTCTTGAGCTCTTAGCCTTAAATGATCCTCTTCCTTTGGCCTCCCAAAGTGCTGGGATTACAGGCATGAGCCACTACACCCAGCAGATATTATGGAATGCTTATATAAGCATTTTTCTCAATTCAACCTCCGAAAGATTGCTCAAATCCATCTACTTTTCCATCATCAGTGCCACTGCAGGAGTCAAACTACAAATCCTTGCCTTAACCACTACAGTAGTTTTTAATTCCTTCCTTTAATGCATTTTTTTGCACATAACATGGGTTAAGGCACTGCCTGTTTACAGGCTTTTAATGGCCTCCCATTGCACTGAAGACAAAAGCACACACTGTTGCTTGGTCTGCAGGCTCCACGTGATCTGTCCTGTGTCTCCATCTGTCTCTTTCCTACCCTCATTATGCTTCTGCTACACTGGCTCCTTCCTCATTCTCTTTGAATACACCGATCTCTTTCCTGCTTTGGAGTTTCCACACATTCTCCCCTGTTCCTTTTCTCTATGGAACCTCCCATGCCTCACCTACTGTGGATTAATTTCTTCCCAACCTTCGGGTACCAGTTTAACTATTACTCTTCAACAAAGCCTTCCTTGACTCAAAATCCAAGTCAGGTCCTGCTCGTTATTACCTCTCATGTGCTTTCTCTTCCTGGCCCTCATCACAATTCATCATTATCCTTATCATGTGTGTTAGCTTAATGTCTGTAACCCTCGCTCCCCCTAGAAGGCAAAGATTGTAAATGTTTCTTTGCTTCATTCTCATATTCAGTGTCCACCTGTGCCTGGCAGGAAGTGCCTGTGCAATAGGCAGTTTCTGGATAGCTACACAGCTGACAATTAATTTTTGGACTCTTGCTCTTATCCAGACACCATTCTAAGGTTTACATTCTCATTTAATGCTCAAATTCCACTAGGTAATTATTGGTGTTAGCTTTATTTTATGGATGAGAAAACCAAGGAAAAGATATTAAGTTTCAACTTGAGCTGACAGCTCATTCATTAAATGTTCATCCAGGCCAGGCGTGATGGCTCACACCTGTAATCCCAGCACTTTGGGAGGCCGAGGCAGGTAGATCACCAGAGGTCAGGAGTTCGAGACCAGCCTGGCCAACATGGTGAAAACTGTCCTACTAAAAATACAACAAGTAGCCAGGAATGGTGGTGGACACCTGTAATCGCAGCTACTCGGGAAGCTGAGGCAGGAGAATCACTTGAACCCGGGAGGCGGAGGTTGTAGTGAGCCAAGATCATGCCATTGCACTCCAACCTGGGCAACAAGAGCAAAACTCCATCTCAAAAAAAAAAAAAAAAAAAAAAGTTCATCCATATTTTTTTAACACCTACTCTTTCAGGCACTTAGGTTGTATCAATGAAACAAAACAGACAAAAACCCCTATCCTCACGAATCTTACTCTCTTGCACATAGTAAAGAATCAAGCTTGAATTTGGACCTAGCAGTGTGACTCTGGAGCATAAGGCTTTATTTCTACTCCACACACTGACCCTCAAACAGAATGAACATTGTGGAGAGACTATAACAGACATTTCATTTTGAAAACTACACCTACCTAACTTCAGGTTATTCATTCATACCACTTTTAATTTGTTTGGTATTAAGTTTCTCCTGAGTTCTCAAGGAAAAATGAAATGCAAAACAAATCATAATCTCCCTTAGAACTTTATTCCTCTTTATATCCCCAGCACCTGACATCTGCTAAGCACACAGTGACAACAAAATACACATTTATTTTGAAAGATGAATGAGGTCCAATTAATTGTTCTCTCCTATGTGCATTACCACTTGGCTGTTTGTGTGCAAAGCTTCTAGTATTATTTGCTTTGATTTTTTTAGGCAATAGACTCAGAACTTAACTTACTAAGACTATGTCTTATCAAGCACATGAATATTTAGAGTGAAAATTGGTGAGGTTTTCACCCCTGCAGGGAAGGCAAGAGCATTGTAGAGAGGCTCAGGGGGAGGACAGAGGCATTAATCTGCAGCTGTGTTTGACAACAGGAAGGAGGCACTTGCAGTGGGGAGTGGAAAGAATTGGAAAACAAGAAAGAAAGACAGAAAGAAAAGAGGGAGATGGATACAGAAAATAAAGGCACTAGTGAGACTGACCACTTTTAATACTATGCAGTAATTTTTAATAAAAGAAAAAATTGATTTAGAATATATTCTTCCTCTCTCTCCTTTCTCTTGATCTTTTTACACTAATAGATATAATTATTTACATGTAATTTCTTGCTGGTTCAATGTTTAATTTCTACACTTAATGAAGTATTACCATTTGAATAAATATTTAATACTTACAAATACTCAAAAAGCATAAGCCATTCACTTGCTTAATACAATATTTTTTCATCATATGAAGAAAGCTATCATTTAAAAGGGCTTCACATCTTGACCATATTCTCATCATATGCAATATGCCTGGTTATTGCTGTATTGTAGAAAAATGTCCTGGAAAATCTATCAAGTAGTTTAAAAGGTAGAAAACAGGGAAGGTGAAAGGAAGTGATATTGCATCCTTGGAATTCCTTCTAGCCATATAATTTCATCACCCTCACACCCAGAGGTTTAACCTGAATGATAGAGTTATATAAAATATAAAAAGTAATAAGAAACCAGCGCTTTCACTCTTTCCTGATATTTCCTTCATTGTGCTACATGTGAAATGAGCTAATCTGTTATCGACTCCTAGAAAAATGGAAGAGAACTGTGCACTGATAAAACATAATTCCTTCTATTATGAATTTTGCCACCTGATCTTGAATATTAATTTAATTGGCATATAGCATGCATGCTGTAAATACATATTGGTGACTGTTGATTGAAATAAGGTTCTGGAATGCTGTTGTTATCTGCAAAATTCTAAAGCAGAGTTTTGGAGCACTGTCCTAGTGAATCCTTCACCCTTGGTCACACATTCAGGTAATACCCACTTCTGCCTTTAGACACTAAAAACAATTATAGCACCAAGATGTATAATTCAGGCTGCAAATCTCAGAAAACAAAAATGGGTTCACTTTTTCCTGCACACCCTTCCCCATTCTTCAGTGAACATCAGAGAACCAGGGAGATAATCAAATATAGGAGAATCTCACATCACAATAATTGCAATTATTTAGCAGCCACCAGAACACACAAAGGCTATTCTTCTTAAATACAACCCTTGAATTCAACCCTTTCTTGAAAACAAAAAACGTACCCAATAAAAAGAAGCAGGGTAATTCTGGCTTTTCCATATTGCCGTACTTCCTAAGAAACCACAACAGAATTACCTAGCTTTGATAAGATGGCAATAAATGCATGTGACAACCTTCCACAAGGGGAGGTCAAGCCCTTTTTCCTGAACAAGGGGCCTTCAAAACTAGGAATGAAGCTGTAGCCTTAAATATTTCAGAAGAAAACCTGTAACCTTCACAGGGATTTTTATTCCAGCTGTGTTCACATTCATTATAATGACTCTGGAGAACAGAACTGACTCATTTTAGATGATGACTACATAACTATTCATTTATACTTAATGAGCTTATTCCACCAGGTATATGATGATCTCTAAACAAATAGTGTCATCGAATCACACATGTCAATAGACTTGAGTACTAAACTGATTCCACCTTGCAAAGGTAATGATAAACTAGGAAGAAAAAGAGCTGTGTCTAATTAATGAAAATGCCCTTTGTATTTTCTAATGGTTGAAACATTAACTTGAAAATGGCTTTCCCTGCAATAATTTACAGACAAGCAGTCTTTAATGGGAAAACAATTCAAATTTATGTGCAATTGAACTATAATTATTTGATTAACATTATTAAATTCTTGTTGATTCTACAGTCTGGATGAAGTGTATCATTTTTTATAAGTTTCATATGTTGCAGTTTTACGTTTTTCAACCTCAGGATTCAATTGATCCTGAAAATGTCCTTAGGAACCTCCTTTTGAGCCTGATGAATAAAACGTAGGTGGCTGGGATTCATTTCACTTGTCTCTTTTCATAATGATAATTTTATTTTTATGTTCAAGAAGCACTTGAATAAATCTAGTAGAAGAATTCATGGGATTCTCTGCTGATTTGTGTGTAATTGAAATGATGGGAATCACTTGACTGAAGGAAGCTCCCTTCAATGAAATGAAATCCATATCTATATATTAAGGTTTAACTAGGTAGTACTGACAACTCAAAGTATTCTCATAGAGCGCGAAAGACTTATATTAAAAAGAGCTGGGCTCAGTGGCTCACACCTGTAATCCCAGAACTTTGGGAGGCCGAGGAGGGTGGATCACCTGAGGTCAGGAGTTTGCGACCAACCTGGCCAACATAGCGAAACCCTCTCTCTACTAAAAATACAAAAATTAGCCGGGTGTGGTAGCACTTGCCTGTAATCCCAGCTACTAGGGAAGCTGAGGCAGGAGAATTGTTTGACCCAGGGAGCGGAGGTTGCAGTGAGCTGAGATTGCATCACTGCACTCTGCCCTGGGTGACAGAGCAAAACTCTGTCTAAAACAAAACAAAACAAAACAACAACAACAAAACCTATTAAAAAGGAAAACGAGAGAGAGAGATAGAAACATCCTAAATCAATAATCTAAACTTACACATCAAGAAACTAGGGGAAAAAAGGAGCAAATTAAACCCAAAGCCAGCAGAAGAAAGGAAATAATAAAGGGAGAAGCTAAAAATAATAAAAACTAAATACAGAAAAACAATAAAGAAATAAAACTAAAAGGTAGTTCTTTGTAAAGATCAATAAAATTTATAAATCTCTATCTGGAGTGGCAAAGACAAAAAGAGAAAATACAAAAGTTACCAGTATCAGGAATTAAAGAGAATATATATTTACAGATATAAGTACTACAATATTAAAAGGATAATTTAAAAATATGAATAATTTTATGCCCATAAGTTCAACAACCTAGATAAAATTGACAAACCCTTTGAAAGACACAAGCCATTAAAACTCACTCAAGAAGAATTAGACAAGTTGAATAGTCCTAAATGTATTAAATAAATTGAGTTTGTAGTTAAAAAACCCTCCAACAAAGAAAACTCCAGGCCCAGATGATTTCATTGGAAAACTCTATCAAATATGTAAAGAGAAATTAATACAAACTTGACACAATCTTTCCCAGAAAATAGAAGAAAATACTTCTCACTCATCTTGTGAGGCAGGATTACCTTGATAATAAAACCACACAAAGACATTACAAGAAAAGAAAACTACAGACTAATATCCCTCAGAAAAATAGGTGTAAAAATCTTTTTAAAGAGTGTCTAAAAACTGAGTTCACCAACATGTAAAAGTACAACATTTTATGACAATGTGGGTTTATTTTTAGAATGCAAGGCTGGTTCAACATTCAAAAGTCAATGTAATTCAGGATATTAACATTAAAGAAGAAAAGCTAAATGATTATCTCAATATATGCAATAAAAACATTTGACAAAAAATGCAGCATTCATTTATGATTTTTGAAAAAAGAAAAGAACTCTTAGCAAACTCAAAATAGCAGAAAGCTTCCTTATGCTGATAAACAGTATCTACATAAAATCTACATCTGACATTATACTAAATGGTGGAAACCGAAATGCCTTCTCTCTAAGACTGGGACAAAGTAAGGATGTTTATTCTTATAATTTCTATTCAATACCATACTAGAAGTTCTAGCCAGTACAATAAGACAAGGAAAAGAAATTAAAATATGTATTGAAAAGAAAATAAAAACTCTCTCAATTGCAAATGGCATGATTGTCTATGTATAAAATTAGAAAGAATCTATAGTCTCCTAGAATTAATAAGTGAGTTTAGCAAGGTTATAGAACACATGCTCAATATAAAAAAAGTCAAGTGTATTTCTATATGCTACTGTATAGCAATAAACAGTTGGAAATCAAAATTATGAAACAGTTCCCTTTAACATAGAACCAAAAAATGAAATTCATAGATATAAATCTAACAAAAATATATTCAGATTGTCTGGTGAAAACTATAAAACATCCATGAAATAAATAAATGGAAATATGTACTGTGTTTGTTTATGAATTGGAAGAGTCAATATTGTTAAAATGTCAATTCTCTCATAATTGTCCTATAAATTCAATGTAATCTCATTCAAACCCCCAGGAGATTTTGTTGTAGCTATATTGACAAGTTATTTCTAAAATTTTTCTTAAAATGCAAAGAACCCAAAATGGGCAAAACAACTTGGAAACTAGGAGGACACACAATACCTAATTTCAAGACTTATTATAAAGCTATAGTAATCACAACAGCATGGTATTGATGAAAAGATATAGACATAGATCAACAGAAAATAATAGAGTTCAGAAATATATCCACACAGATATGGTCATTGATTTTTGAAAAATATGCAAAGGCATATTCTCTTATCAATGGATAAGAGAATAATCTTTTAAACAAGTGATGCTAGAACATATGCAAACAGAAATCTCAACCTACACTTCACATCTCATACAAAAATTAATTTCAAATGGATCATAGACCTAAATGTGAAATGCAAAACTTCGGAGATTTTAAAAAGAAAATTTAGGTAAAAATCTTTATTATCAAGAGTTGAGCTAAGAGTTATTAAATGTGGCTTGAAATCATGATCCATAAAATACAAAAATTGATAAATCAGTCATCATAAAACTTAAAACTTGGCTTCTCTCAGTTCACTTGGACAGCTATAACAAAATACTATAAACTAGGCAGATTTTAAACAATAGAAATTTATTTCTCACAGTTCTGGGGTCTGTGTACACATGGCAAAAGGGTTAAGGAAGCTCTCTGGGGCCTCTTTTACAAGATTACTAATCCCATTCATGAGGAATTAGTGACTCAATCACCTCCCAAAGGAGCCACGTCTTAACACCATGACATTGGTGACTAGGTTTCAACATGAATTTAGGGGGACCATAGCAGGCTCTGAGTAAGACACTATTATGGGAATAAAAAGACAAGCTTTGGACTGAGAGAAAATTTTGCAATTCACATATCTGACAAAGGATTTATTAGCCAAATGTATAAAGAACTCTCAAAACTCAACAATAAGAAAGTAAACAATCCAATTTTTAAAGATGGAAATTTTTGAGGAGGTAGGTCACCAAACAAGATAGAGGGATGACAATTAAGCAAACGAAAAGATGATCAACATAATTGGTCATTAGAAAAAAGCAAATTAAAGTCACAATAAAATAGATACTACTACATAACTATTTGAATGTTTAACAGAAACAGAACAGACAATTCCAAATACTGACAAGAATGCAAAGCAATTGGAACACTCATAGATTGCTGGTGGAAATGTAAGATGGTATGGTCACTATGCAATTTGATGATATCTTGTGAAATTAAACATTCACTACCATACGGCCCAGAAATTCCACTCCTAGGTATTTATACCAGAGAGAAGACAACTATGTTCACACAAAAACCTGTATGCAAATGTTTATAACAGCTTTATTTACAATCATTTAAAACTGAAAACAACTCAGAAATCTTTCAACTGGTGAATGGATAAACAAACCATTCAGCAATAATAAGGAATGAAATAATGTTACACACAATAATGTGGATAAATCTCAAATGCCATATGCACAATGGAAGAAGCCAGACTCCCAAGGCAACCTATTGCAGTTTTCCATTTTGAAAAGGCAAAACAATATGGACTGGCAACCACTCAGTTTTCGCCAGAGGTTAGGAATGAGGACAGATGTTGACTGCAGAGCGGCAGCATGAGAAAATGTTGGGCGGTGAGATTGTGATAATGGCTACATGACTATGCAATGTCAAAACTCATAGAACAGTACACCAAAAAGAGTAAACTTTACTGTGTGCAAATTACAAATAAAATAAATCCGTAGAGATTTAGATTGGCTGAATTTCACCTTTACCTTATACTTCCGTTTGCATTATTAATCAGTCCATCGCTGTCAGTGGTACTATGTTGCCTCCAATCTTTGATCATTATCTCCCTACCTTTGACTTTTTTTTTTTTTTACATTCTCCTCAACACCACGTTATTTCCACTGGGCCACCACTTTCTGCCAGTTCTTACTACATCATATCTTTCATGTTTGCCTTCTTTTTCTCATTAGTTCAACCACTCCCTTCCCTTTCCACCAATCTATAACTGCATCCCACTAGCTAATTTGCTTGCCTAAAGGAATTGTTTTTTGTCTTTTCGTAACATTGTCTTTAAAATTTTTCTTTTCTCAGCCGGGTGTGGTGGCTCAGGCCTATAATATCAGTACTTTGGGAGGCTGAGGTGGGCAGATCACGAGGTCAGGAGATTGAGACCATCCTGGCTAACACGGTGAAACCCCATCTCTACTAAAAAAAAAAAAATACAAAAAAATTAGCCGGGTGTGGTGGTGGGCACCTGTAGTCCCAGCTACTCGGGAGGCTGAGGCAGGAGAATGGTGTGAACTGGGAGGTGGAGCTTGCAGAGCTTGCAGTGAGCCGAGACTGTGCCACTACACTCCAGCCTGGGTGACAGAACGAGACTCTATCTCAAAAAAAAAAGAAAAAAGAAAAAAAAAAGAAAAGAAAAAAAACTTCTAATGGGAAATCTTCAGTGGTTTTTTATTTTCTAACATATATCTTCAATCCTACAAAATTAAAATACCGTTCTACACACCCTTTTCATGCCTTAAAAATATTTCTTCATTCCAGATAAACCAATAATACTGATTTTAAAATACCTGTTTATTGAGTGTTTGTTATATTCTAGGCATAGTGCTAAGTTATCTCTTATTATTTCTATCTAATCCTGACAGCAATCCTATGAGGTAGACTTATCCCCACTTTACAAATGAGAAAACTGAGGCCCAAAGAAGTAACGAAGTTTCATAACATAAAACATCAAGTAAAGAACTAAACTGGAATCCAATTCCAGTCTCTCTGACTCCAGATCCTGTACTCTTAATCTCTAATCCTTTAAAGTCCTTCAAATTTATTTCATTTGATCCTCAACAACATCCCTTCGCAAATCATTTATTCTCCTTAAAGATTATCTTCTTCCCAGCAAATCCTTGCCAAATTCTTCAAGAAGCCTTCCCTGACTACCTCGCCCCACCATTTAATTATCCTCAGCAGATGTTTTCTTGTCACAAATCGTATATTGCCCCACAATTATTCTCCAAGATGTTTTAGATGAATATTCTTTATCTTCCCCCACCCCACAGTCTTATTCATTCATTCACAAGCTAAAGGAACACAGATTTAATGAGCACCTATTATATGCCCAGCAATTAGCATGATGGGTCACTACTTTAAGGAGCTCATAGCAAATTCCCTGAGAGCAGAAATTATGTCTTTTCTCTTTTCTTGCTTTTACCCCTTCCCCCAGTCATCCCAAGCATCTATTATGCTACATTCTATAAGCTTTCAGGATGGACGAGTGAACGTGCTGGTTTGCCATAGTCACAAATACACAACATCTGAGAGTCAGGAAGGGCTACCACAGCCCTGTGAAATTTTATATTGAAAAACTGCTAATGATGCCATCAGGCCCAGTGTCCTTCAGGAAAGAAAATGAGTGCTTGAGGCAAACATGTGGAAGCTGCAAACCATTTGTAATCAGAAAGTGAAGTATGCAACAAGGGAAACATGCCAAGCTCAAGGACTCGGTGGCTTTAATGAAGGGCTGGTATTACCAGTGGAAATCTAACTTGCCTACCAGCTGGGCGATCTCATCTTCACAATGAGCTTCGCTGGCTGATAACCACAGGGTCCTGAGAAATTAAGCAGACCCACAAATTACCTACATAACATTCTGGCTAGATATTCGAAAGTTGAATTAATTGCCTGAAAATAAATGAACGGGTAGGGCCAAGAATTGCCTCATTAGTATTCAGCAACAGTGCTGTCTTTTGAAGAAAAGGAGAAAAGGTGGGGGAGGAAGGCAAAACAATGGGAAATAGGGAAGGGAGGGAAACAGAGAATAATGAGAGAAATCGTTATTTTACAAGTGCATTATGGGTTCCCTGTTTATCTGACTAGTTACAAATTTCCTGGTCTGGCCCAATTCACCATGCCTAGGTAGACTACACCTGTGCTTTCTGATATAGCCGACACACTCAGGAGCCCAGCAATTGATACACGCCTAAAATACAAAGTGATTAACTATGTGGACACTTTCCCTTTACTTCCCAAATGAGAGTCAGCAGCATTCACGTGTTTTTCTTTGGCAAGAAAGGGGAAACTGGAGAGAAACAGTGCCCAACAGGTGCACCACTCAGACACATTCATCAATGGCTTTATTCCAGCAAGCACTACAGCTAAAGCCTGCATCCTCCAGGCATGATTACACTTTTTCATACAGCACATTTAATTTCTTCAGTTAATAATTCTGTTCAATCTTAAAAACCACCATTGCAAAGCCATGCCATGTGATGCTTATGTGCAGAGACAGTTTCTCCAAAGCTTGCAACTAGAGAATGCTACTTCTCAGCAGCCCCTTGAAAAAATCCATGCAAGGATCATGACATGAAGGGGATGTTGAGGACACATGGCCAGACAGTGTGTTATGGGCTGAATGCTTATATTCCCCCCAAATTCATGTGCTGAAATCCTAATCTTGAATAAGCTGGTATTAGGAGGTGGAGGCTTTGGGAGGTGATTAGGTCATGAGGGTGGGGCCCTCATGAAGTAGATTAGTGCCCCTATAAGAAGATACAGGGCAAGAACTTGTTCCTTCGCTCTGCTCTCTACCACATGAGAATACAATGAGAGGAGCCATCTGCAAACCACAGGTGGGCCCTCACCAAAAGCAGATCTGCCAATACCTTGATTCTGGACTTCCAGCCTCCAGACTATGAGAAACAAATGTTTGTTACTTAAGCCACCTAATCTACATTATTCTGTTACAGTAGCCCAAACTGACTAAGACACAATGCCAGATACTGAGAATGGCAAGTAGCTGCCAGAAAGAGTCACCAATAATTTATCATTTATCTCTTTCTGAAAACCTGTGGAACCTTCTGTTTGACCTTTTATTCCAATTGCTTCCTAAAGTCAGTTTTCATTCTTTTCAGGGTTGCTGACATCCTTTCAACTTTTCAAAGCCTTTCTGCACTGATTTCATCTAAAACCTCTAAGATGTACCCCAAAGCCTAAAGGTAAACCGGGTACAAATTAGCTTAATTCATTCGTGGCCTGCTTACTTTTGTTGTGCTTCTGACAGGGGTGGTCAAGGACAGTATCTCTTTTTGTGCTTTGAGTAACTTCCAACTAAAAGGTTTTTCTTCATTCTGAGTACTGAGAATATGCCTGTCCAGGAGACTTAGACCTGCACAATTGAATTCTTTGCATTTCAAGAAAGATTTCATCTAATTATTCTCACTGCAGCTTTCTGTTACAGAATTAGACCTTATAGCACCATAAGATTATGAAAACAATTCCCATTATTTTAATGTTTCCTTTAGGTTCCTTTGCCTTTCAAATATCAAGTTGGATCTTATTTCGCTCATACTATTTTTACATCCCCAAAATATAGCCATATGCTGGTAGTAATCTTAAAAAGCAAAATGTTCTCTGTGACCCATGATTTATCTTGGGTAAGAATATCTGCTTTACTTACTTGATAGACAGTAACATAAAAGCAAATATGTCTTTTTAATCATATATAGAGAAAACATTTTCAACCTCACTTCAAGAAACAAAAATTTTAAAGTAAGAAATCAATTATGACCAAATATACATTGAGAATCTACATTGGGCACTGGTCTTTGCACTCTGGAGTATGTAATCACATAAAAGAACTGGAAACCCAACTTGTGTCATAGATGTTTTCCTCTTTTGCGTATCCAAAGAAGTTGGGCACAAATGATTATGCCAGTGATTCAGAAGCTGCCATGTGTTGTATTTTTTTTCCCAAGTAGCAATCTGTTCAGACTCCATGTATATTTCACTTGTCTTAGGTTCAACTTAAAAATTCTCATTTTAGGAAAAGTGTGTCAGCCCCAGGAGATGAACATATGCTTTCATGCTTGCCCTTGTTTTATTTTATTTTTTTTTTTTTACTTTTTATTTTGGACTTGCTGAACTCCTGTATTAGTTAGAATGCTTTGGGCTGTAAATATAAGAAAATCCATCCCATATCAGCTTACACAGGGGTTTTGTGTTGACCTGTGTCCCCTCCCAAATTCATATGTGGAAGTCCTAACCTAGTACCTCAGAATGTGGCTGTATTTGAAGATAAGGCCCTCACAGAGGCAAGAAAGTGAGGGCATTAGGGTGGGCCCTAATTCAATATGACTGATGTCCTTAATAAAAGGGAAAGTTGGAGACAGAGTCACCCACAGAGAGAATACCCTGTGAGGATGAAGGCAAAGATCAGAGTGATGCTCCTATAAGCCAAGGAATGCCAGAGATCACCAGCAAACCACCAGAAGCTAGAAGAGAGGCATGGAAGAGATTCTCTTTCACGGGCCTCAGGAGGAACCAACTCTATTGACACCTCGATCTCAGACTTCCAGCCTCCAGAACTGTGAGACAATACATTTGTGCTGTGTAAGCTGCTCAGTTTTTGGTACTTTGTTACAGGAGCCTTAGCAAATGGATATACATGGGAAGATAATAATGTCCACTACCATGCTATAAATTTCCCTATCTGGTAAGTGGCCTCAAAGGCCACCAGAAACACTTCTCTTGAACCCATTAATATATGTGAATGACTTCATGGTTACCATAGCCCAGTGAAACCATGATAGCAAAGAATGCATGTCAGCTGGAAAGGATGCAGCGTAGGAAAGAGCAATACATAGGCAGATGAAGAACATACCTTCAGAATAAAATAAAGAGATCTGAGAAGACTTCCTGCCCAGCGGATGCCTCCAGTTGCCTTCTCAATAACCCCTGGGCTCTGTCAGCTTTCTTCACTGTCTTTATCCACACCGTCTAGAACCACCAATCAGAGATTCTTGTAGATATAAAACACTCTTTTAACACAAAAATCCCAGGAGGGTTTCTATCCATTACTACTCACACTGTTGGCATGGAAAAAGAAGAATTTGAGGTTTAAGAGTGAGAAGGAGTTAAAGCCAATAAGAAAACAAAATATGATTTCCATATTGCAGACTTGAGTTAAGGAAAAAAAAAAACTACCAAGCCCTTAATGCTGCAGTCCTTGAGATTTATTTATTCCATCACTCATTCAACATGTTATGGCATTCCTCTAGCCAAAAACATAACAGTAAACAAAACAAATGTGGTGTCTGTCCTCACTGAGCTTAGATTTTGGTGGAGGAGAAGAGTACAGAAAATAAATAGAAAATTTTAATGTGGCAAGTGCTAGAATAGAGGACATTTAGGATTCTACGGGTACAAATAAGATGTATATCATCTACAATCTGGTTTAGAGTGAGTCAGGGGAAGTTTCCTAGAACAAGATTTGTCTAAGCTCAACTTAACAAATAAGTAGGAAATATTCATGTCAAAAGAAGTGTATGGGGGAGGACAGAGGAGGTCATGGCTACTGGTATAAGCCATCTTAATGGGAGTCCTAGCTAGAGCAATCAGGCAAGAAAAAGAAATAAAAGGCATCTAAATAGGAAAAGAAGCAGTCATATATTTCTTCATGGACAGCATGATTCTATACCTAGAAAACCCTAATGCCTTCATCAAAAGGCTCCCAGAAATTATAAATGACTTTAGTAAAGTATCAGCATACAAAATCAATGAATAAAAACCAGTAGCATTTCTATACAGCAGAATATTTGGGTTGACACAGATCAACCCAAAACACCTGTGTAAGCTGAGGTGGGATGGATTTTCTTATATTTACAGCCCAAAGCATTTTAACTAATAAAGGAGTTCAGCAAGTCCAAAATAAAAATTAAAAAAAAAAAACAAGGGCAAGCATGAAAGCATATTCAAGGAAAATCAAGAATGCAATTCCCTTTGCAGTTGCCACACAGAAAATCAAATACCTAGGAATACATTTAACCAAAGAGGTGAATAATTATTACAAGGAGAACTAAAAATACTGCCAAAAGAAATCATAGATGACACAAACAAATGGAAAAATATTCCATGCTTGCAGATTGCAAGAATCAATATTGTTAAAATGGTCATGCTGCCCAAAGCAATCTACAGATTCAACACTATTCCTATCAAACTACTAATATCATTTTTCACAGAAATAGAAAAAACTATTATAAAATTCTAAATGGAACTAAAAAAGAGCCTCAATAGTCAAAGCAATCCTAAGCAAAAATAACAAAGCTGGAGGTAACATATTACTTGACTTCAAACTATACTATAAGGCTACAGTAACCAAAACAGCATGGTGCTGGTACAAAAACAGACACATAGACCAATGGAACAGAATAGAGAACCCAAAAGTAAAGCCACCCACATACAGCTATCTGATCTTCAGCAAAGTCGACAAAAATAAGCAATGGAAAAGGGACTACCTGTTCAATAAATGGTGCTGAGATAGCTGGCTAGTCATATGTAAAAGAATAAAACTGGACCTCTACCTTTCACCACACACAAAAATTAACTCAAGCTGGATTAAAAGTTTAAACATAAGACCTCAAACAATAAAAATTCTAGAAGAAAACCTAGGAAACACCATTCTGGACATCAGCCTTGGAAAATAATTTATGCCTAAGTCCTCAAAAGCAATTGCAACAAAACAAAAATTGACGAGTAGGACTTAATTCAACAAAATGGCTTCTGCACAGAAAGGAAACTATCAGCAGAGTAAACTGACAAACTACAGAATGGGAGAAAATATTCACAAACTATGCATCTGACAAAGGGCTACTATCCAGGATCTATAAGAAACTTAAATAATTCAACATATAAAAAACAAATAAGCCCTTTAAAAAGTGGGCAAAGGACATGAACAGACACTTCTCAAAAAAAAATGACATACTCACAGCCAACAGGCATACAACAAAACGCTCAACATCACTGATCATCTGAGAAATGCAAATCAAAACCACAATGAGATACTATCTCACACCAATAACAATGGCTATTATTAAAAAGTCAAAAAAACAAACAGACGCTAAGTGAGGCTGTAGAGAAAATGACATGTTTATGCACTATTGGTGAGAATGTAAATTAGTTCAGTCACTTTGAAAAGTAGTTTGGAGATTTCTCAAAGAACTTAAAACAGAACCACCATTTGACCCATCGATTCCATTACTGGGTAGACTATATATCCAAAAGAAAATAAATTGTTCTGCCAAAAGACACATGCACTTGCATGTTCATTGCAGCACTAATCACAATAGCAAAAACATGCAATCAACCTAGGTGCCTATTACCATGGATTAGATAAAGAAAAATATGGTACATATATACTATGGAATACTATGCAGTCATTAAAAACATCCTGAAATTATCTCCTTTGCAGCAACATGGATAAAGCTGGAGGCCATTATCCTGAACAAACTAATGCAGGAACAGAAAACCAAATACCGCATGTGCTCACTTATAAGTGGGAGCCAAACACTGGGTCCTCATGGATCCAAACATGTGAACAACAGACACTGGAGCCTACTAGAGAGGGGAGGAAGGAAGCGGGGCAAGAGGTGAAAAATTAACTATTGGTACTATGCTTGCTACCTGGGTGATGGGAACATTCGTACCGCAAACCTCAACATCACTCAATATGCTCATGTGACAAACCCTCACATATACTCCATAAATCCAAAATAAAAGTTGGGGAAAAAAGAGAAAGGTATCTCAATAATTACATGTTTGATCCTGGAGAAAATGGGGAAGCATAAGAAATAATACCATAAGTTATGTAGTTGAAAAAGTTTACTCTAAATTACCCAAAACTTCACCCATCTAAAATAATCAAGTTACCAGTCATTTTTAGACAAACCAACAAGACCATAGTAATGTGAGAAAGTATTGAAAAGACATTTTCATGAACGAAAATACTGTGACACACCTCTGGGCAAGATAATATAATCTTGTCAGTGATCATCATTTTTAAAAATATAACTGTTCAAAATATGATTTTAGAAGTAGAGAGCACCACATGTAGAAGGTCTAGGTACTAAACTAGCAGATGTTTTCTAAGTTTACCAAGGTAGTCAGTTACTTTGGTGGCCCATAATTAACCACACTTTCCACGTTCACAGCCTTGAATAGCTTCCTTCCCTTGAATCTGGGAGCAACTAAGGCTTGCTTTAACCAAAAGAACACAGCAGACATGAGGCTCAAATTCTGGGCCTAAGCCTTAAGAGGGCCTGGCACAGGTAGCCTCTGCTTTTGCAGTCTTAGGAGTCTTGAGGCACTTCGTAAGATGTCCAGACGCTCTGCTTAAGAGATCTTGTGCATGGACCACATGGAGGGGCCGTGTGGAGCAGAGGCCCTGAGATTACAGGAAGACAAAGTCCCAGCTGCTCTCCTGTCCTAGCTAAGCCTCACCCCAGATGGCTCACAACTGAATGCAGCCACAGGAATTAACACTGAAGGACTAGCTGAAGCACTACTCACCTGAGCCCAGTATGGATTGCAGAATTGTCACAAACGGTAGTTATTTGTGACAATATTGCACAGTTCTGTGAAGGCACAAAGTAATAATAAAAATTTATTTATTATTATGTTTGATTCCTTTATGTCATAGAAGGAACCTGAGAAACAGAGAGGTTAGGTGACTTGTTCAGAGTTCCATAGCATCTTCCCATTCAACATACAACCTAGCCTCAGTTTTCTAGTGTAAAAGGGGAGAGAGGAATGGAATAGAATGTAGGAGGAAAATAGAAAAGATCTGGAATACAAAAGGCAATCACAAATCTTCTAACAAACTGAGAACATTCGTCAGAAAGTTGAGCATTCGGCCTTGGGGTAAATAGAGAGCTCTTGTTTTTTAATATATTGCCTTGTATAGATATTGTGTGTGTACTCATAGGACCAAGAAATCTGGGAAGTCTGAAGACCAAGAAATCTGGGAACTTTGAGTACAATGCATGACCGATGAGGACTAAAAATCATTTCTACTGTTCACATGTCACCCTTATTACCTCATTTCACACTCTGTGTTTCTGAGATATTCTTCAAGTCTTAAAGGAGCTGATGAGCTTACAGTCATTTGACAGCAGCAGGCACCCAATTGACTCCCAACCTGCTTGCACAAAAAGATAACACTTCAGGATTCTAAAGTGGATTCGTTTTCCCAGGTGAGGCTTTACTCAAGATGTCGAGTAAAAAGATCTCTCAGGTCCTTTCCCGTTGGCCCAGGAGCTAGTGCCTTCTGAGGCATTTTATAAATAAGTAAGTTACCCTATTCTCAAAAGACTCTAGATGGAAACACTTTAATAAGGCAGACCTAATTTTTCAATCTCACCTTTTGTAACTGGGTATGAATGAGCTATTCTTCATGTTCTTGTAGCTTGACAGGAACAAGAAAGTGTACCAAATCATTAATTCTCTAATTTGCCCACATAACATAAAACCAGCTGGCTTTTAATATTTAATTAAATTAGTGTGCTCCCCAACTGAGTTCTAATATTCCAATTTCAATTTTCAGCACAAAGCTAATATAAAACCCAAAAGCACTGAGTGATGTGGAAAGGGAAAATGTGACCTTGGTAGGATAATGTGAAGGCGTCCACAGATGAAAAGAGTCCTTTTTTTTTTCTTGAGCATTATAAGATGTCCAAAGTTAACATTCTGACTAAATATATTGCATTCTCTTTTAAGAAGTAGCATCATGTGGTAAAAGTACATTTGGGAGCAGTCCTTTTTTTCATTACTTAACTCATTTTTTTACTCATTCATTTCTCCTACCTGTTGTGTGCCAGATATTATACTAGGTGCTCAGGCATGAGAATGAAATACATTGTCCCTACCCTTGTAGGAGCACATTGTCTCTGCGTACTACGGACCTTGTAGCCAAGTGTGTATGTGAGATCTTGGACAAGCTTAACCTTTGAGCTTTAGTCCACTGTCTAGAAAATGATTATGTTAACAACTCTTAGCTCTCAGATCTTTGTGAGGATTAAATGAGATGTTGTTTTGCAAAAGAGCTTTGCACATTGCAGAGTGGTAATTGAATGATGAAAAGAAATTATGAAGTATTTTGTGCAGGCTTTTTACTGTTGCTGTTTGTGTGCATTTGTGATTACGGGAGGCAATAGGGAAACGATCCTGTCATGACTGCCTATTTTCTAATTGTTCCCTTCTCAGTCACAGGCAGTAAAATGTGCTTAAGTCTGGCCTCAAGAAATTCAATCTTGGCTTTTATCTGCAATTCTTATGAAGCGTCTGCTGTCCTGAATATCAGATTGAGCATTCAGGGCCAGTTTTTTTCTTGTTTGTTTTCATTGGATTGGATTATGACAAATTTAGGCAAAAGGTTTTTCTTAGCTTTTTATGGTGATTTTAGACTTGGATGTGAATGTTTATTACAGCTGTTGATTTTTTGTTTCTCTCTATAACACTGGGCTTATTTTCTTGCTTTTTATGAGAGTTATAGAGCACCATGGTACAAAGCTGGCTGGTGCAAGTGATTGGTGAAGATATCTGAAAAATGCCCAGTGAGGAAGTAGAACGGCAGGCTGTGAGTGTCGCTCTGTGGTGTGTCTGAATCCATGCGGCACTCACAGGACAGGCCTAGACTAACATTCAGGGTCAAGGTCAATAAATATATATTGAATGTGTACCATGGGCCAGAGTTGGGGCTTTTAGAGCTGTAAGCAGATAGGTTCATACAGTACCCAACCCTCTACTTCTTTCCTGCGCTTTCATTTTGGATTATGATATGACTATTCACACAGTTTTCCCAACAAGGACTTAAGAGGAATCCTTGATTCATTCATGCTCTTACTCACTCATCCCATGGATAAACATCCAGTCTTATCTCAGAAACCACTTGACTTCTGTTCCCTCCTTTTTATTCTACTGTCACTATCTCAAGCTTGGCCTTCATTATGTCAACAATATTCTACAAACCAGCCTACTTATGATGTAATGCCAATAGGATAATGTACAACGCCTTAGAATGGAATTCAGCAGTCCTTATTGAATCCCCAATCTGTCTTTCTCATTTATCTCCTCCAACCACAACCCTCGACTCCAGGTACCAAACTGAAGCTGCTTCAAAGCTGTGTCTTTGCTGGCGGGCTTTTCTCTGCTTGGAATGTCACTTCCACTGCCACTCATTCAACCCAGCAAACCCCCACTTATCCTCCAAAGATAAGTTCAAGTGCTGCCACTTCTCTAGTTTTTCATGACCCTCCAAGGCAGAATTAATTGTTCCTGTCTCTTTGTCCCCGTGTCCACGTACACACAACAGAAATTTTAAATTTATGCATCCATCTTTTCAACTAAATAGTGAGATATGGAAGAATAGGAATGCTTTCTTGAAAAATAGCTTTATCTCTAATGTCTAGAAATATGACCTATTGCCTACCCATGAAGATCCTCAACACATTCTTCAATTGAATTGTTAAATTGTTTATCTTTTATTTTATTTTATTTTATTTTATTTTTTTAAAATTTTTTTTATTATTATACTTTAAGTTTTAGGGTACATGTGCACATTGTGCAGGTTAGTTACATACGTATACATGTGCCATGCTGGTGTGCTGCACCCACTAACTCGTCATCTAGCATTAGGTATATCTCCCAGTGCTATCCCACCCCCCTCCCCCCACCCCACAACAGTCCCCAGAGTGTGATGTTCCCCTTCCTGTGTCCATGTGATCTCATTGTTCACTTCCCACCTATAAGTGAGAATATGCAGTGTGTGGTTTTTTGTTCTTGTGATAGTTTACTGAGAATGATGATTTCCAATTTCATCCATGTCCCTACAAAGGACATGAACTCATCATTTTTTATGGGTGCATAGTATTCCATGGTGTATATGTGCCACATTTTCTTCATCCAGTCTATCATTGTTGGACATTTGGGTTGGTTCCAAGTCTTTGCTATTGTGAATAGTGCCACTATAAATATATGTGTGCATGTGTCTTTATATCAGCATGATTTATAGTCATTTGGGTATATACCCAGTAATGGGATGGCTGGGTCAAATGGTATTTCCAGTTCTAGATCCCTGAGGAATTGCCACACTGACTTCCACAATGGTTGAACTAGTTTACAGTCCCACCAACAGTGTCAAAGTGTTCCTATTTCTCCACATCCTCTCCAGCACCGGTTGTTTCCTGACTTTTTAATGATTGCCATTCTAACTGGTGTGAGATGGTATCTTATTGTGGTTTTGATTTGCATTTCTCTGATGGCCAGTGATGATGAGCATTTTTTCATGTGTTTTTTGTCTGCATAAATGTCTTCTTTTGAGAAGTGTCTGTTCATGTCCTTTGCCCACTTTTTGATGGGGTTGTTTGTTTTTATCTTGTAAATTTGTTGGAGTTCATTGTAGGTTCGGGATATTAGCCCTTTGTCAGATGAGTAGGTTGCAAAAATTTTCTCCCATTTTGTAGGTTGCCTGTTCACTCTGATGGTAGTTTCTTTTGCTGTGCAGAAGCTCTTTAGTTTAATTAGATCCCATTTGTCAATTTTGTCTTTTGTTGCCATTCCTTTTGGTGTTTTAGACATGAAGTCCTTGCCCATGCCTATGTCATGAATGGTAATGCCTAGGTTTTCTTCTAGGGTTTTTATGGTTTTAGGTCTAACGTTTAAGTCTTTAATCCATCTTGAATTGATTTTTGTATAAGGTGTAAAGAAGGGATCCAGTTTCAGCTTTCTACATATGGCTAGCCAGTTTTCCCAGCACAATTTATTAAATAGGGAATCCTTTCCCCATTGCTTGTTTTTCCCAGGTTTGTCAAAGATCAGATAGTTGTAGATATGCAGCGTTATTTCTGAGGGCTCTGTTCTGTTCCATTGATCTATATCTCTGTTTTGTTACCAGTACCATGCTGTTTTGGTTACTGTAGCCTTGTAGTATAGTTTGAAGTCAGGTAGTGTGATGCCTCCAGCTTTGTTCTTTTGGCTTAGGATTGACTTGGTGATGCGGACTTTTTTTTGGTTCCATATGAACTTTAAAGTAGTTTTTTCCAATTCTGTGAAGAAAGGCATTGGTAACTTGATGGGGATGGCATTGAATCTGTAAATTACCTTGGGCAGTATGGCCATTTTCACGATATTGATTCTTCCTACCCATGAGCATGGAATGTTCTTCCATTTGTTTGTATCCTCTTTTATTTCCTTGAGCAGTGGTTTGTAGTTCTCCTTGAAGAGGTCCTTCACATCCCTTGTAAGTTGGATTCCTAGGTATTTTCTTCTCTTTGAAGCAATTGTGAATGGGAGTTCATTCATGATTTGGCTCTCCGTTTGTCTGTTGTTGGTGTATAGGAATGCTTGTGATTTTTGCACATTGATTTTGTATCCTGAGACTTTGCTGAAGTTGCTTATCAGCTTAAGGAGATTTTGGGCTGAGACAATGGGGTTTTCTAGATATACAATCATGTCATCTGCAAGCAGGGACAATTTGACTTCCTCTTTTCCTAATTGACTACCCTTTATTTCCTTCTCCTGCCTAATTGCCCTGGCCAGAACTTCCAACACTATGTTGAATAGGAGTGGTGAGAGAGGGCATTCCTGTCTTGTGCCAGTTTTCAAAGGGAATGCTTCCAGTTTTTGCCCATTCAGTATGATATTGGCTGTGGGTTTGTCATAGATAGCTCTTATTATTTTGAAATATGTCCCATCAATACCTAACTTATTGAGAGTTTTTAGCATGAAGGGTTGTTGAATTTTGTCAAAGGCATTTTCTGCATCTATTGAGATATTCATGTGGTTTTTGTCTTTGGCTCTGTTTATATGCTGGATTACATTTATTGATTTGCGTATATTAAACCAGCCTTGCATCCCAGGGATGAAGCCCACTTGATCATGGTGGATAAGCTTTTTGATGTGCTGCTGGATTCCATTTGCCAGTATTTTATTGAGGATTTTTGCATCAATGTTCATCAAGGATATTGGTCTAAAATTCTCTTTTTTGGTTGTGTCTCTGCCAGGCTTTGGTATCAGAATGATGCTGGCCTCATAAAATGAGTTAGGGAGGATTCCCTCTTTTTCTATTGATTGGAATAGTTTCAGAAGGAATGGTACCAGTTCCTCCTTGTACCTCTGGTAGAATTCGGCTGTGAATCCATCTGGTCCTGGACTCTTTTTGGTTGGAAAGCTATTGATTATTGCCACAATTTCAGATCCTGTTATTGGTCTATTCAGAGATTCAACTTCTTCCTGGTTTAGTCTTGGGAGAGTGTATGTGTCAAGGAATTTATCCATTTCTTCTAGATTTTCTAGTTTATTTGCATAGAGGTGTTTGTAGTATTCTCTGATGGTAGTTTGTATTTCTGTGGGATCAGTGGTGATATCCCCTTTATCATTTTTTATTGCGTCTATTTGATTCTTCTCTCTTTTTTTCTTTATTAGTCTTGCTAGTGGTCTATCAATTTTGTTGATCCTTTCAAAAAACCAGCTCCTGGATTCATTAATTTTTTGAAGGGTTTTTTGTGTCTCTATTTCCTTCAGTTCTGCTCTGATTTTAGTTATTTCTTGCCTTCTGCTAGCTTTTGAATGTGTTTGCTCTTGCTTTTCTAGTTCTTTTAATTGTGATGTTAGGGTGTCAATTTTGGATCTTTCCTGCTTTCTCTTGTGGGCATTTAGTGCTATAAATTTCCCTCTACACACTGCTTTGAATGCGTCCCAGAGATTCTGGTATGTTGTGTCTTTGTTCTCGTTGGTTTCAAAGAACATCTTTATCTCTGCCTTCATTTCGTTATGTATCCAGTAGTTATTCAGGAGCAGGTTGTTCAGTTTCCATGTAGTTGAGCAGTTTTGAGTGAGATTCTTAATCCTGAGTTCTAGTTTGATTGCACTGTGGTCTGAGAGATAGTTTGTTATAATTTCTGTTCTTTTACATTTGCTGAGGAGAGCTTTACTTCCAAGTATGTGGTTAATTTTGGAATAGGTGTGGTGTGGTGCTGAAAAAAATGTATATTCTGTTGATTTGAGGTGGAGAGTTCTGTAGATGTCTATTAGGTCCACTTGGTGCAGAGCTGAGTTCAATTCCTGGGTATCCTTGTTGTCTTTCTGTCTCGTCGATCTGTCTAATGTTGACAGTGGGGTGTTAAAGTCTCCCATTATTAATGTGTGGGAGTCTAAGTCTCTTTGTAGGTCACTCAGGACTTGCTTTATGAATCTGGGTGCTCCTGTATTGGATGCATATGTATTTAGGATAGTGAGCTCTTCTTGTTGAATTGATCCCTTTACCTTTATGTAATGGCCTTCTTTGTCTCTTTTGATCTTTGTTGTTTTAAAGTCTGTTTTATCAGAGACTAGGATTGCAACCCCTGCCTTTTTTTGTTTTCCATTTGCTTGGTAGATCTTCCTCCATCCTTTTGTTTTGAGCCTATGTGTGTCTCTGCACGTGAGATGGGTTTCCTGAATACAGCACACTGATGGGTCTTGACTCTTTATCCAATTTGCCAGTCTGTGTCTTTTAATTGGAGCATTTAGTCCATTTACATTTAAAGTTAATAGTGTTATGTGTGAATTTGATCCTGTCATTATGATGTTAACTGGTTATTTTGCTCATTAGTTGATGCAGTTTCTTCCTAGTCTCGATGGTCTTTACATTTTGGCATGATTTTGCAGCGGCTGGTACCGGTTGTTCCTTTCCATGTTTAGCGCTCCCTTCAGGAGCTCTTTTAGGGCAGGCCTGGTGTGACAAAATCTCTCAGCATTTGCTTGTCTGTAAAGTATTTTATTTCTTCTTCACTTATGAAGCTTAGTTTGCCTGGATATGAAATTCTGGGTTGAAAATTCTTTTCTTTAAGAACGTTGAATATTGGCCCCCACTCTCTTCTGGCTTGTAGGGTTTCTGCCGAGAGATCCGCTGTTAGTCTGCTGGGCTTCCCTTTGAGGGTAACCTGACCTTTCTCTCTGGCTGCCCTTAACATTTTTTCCTTCATTTCAACTTTGGTGAATCTGACAATCATGTGTCTTGGAGTTGCTCTTCTCGAGGAGTATCTTTGTGGCGTTCTCTGTATTTCCTGAATCTGAACGTTGGCCTGCCTTGCTAGATTGGGGAAATTCTCCTGGATACTATCCTGCAGAGTGTTTTCCAACTTGGTTCCATTCTCCCCATCACTTTCAGGTACACCAATCAGACGTAGATTTGGTCTTTTCACATAGTCCCATATTTCTTGGAGGCTTTGCTCACTTCTTTTTATTCTTTTTTCTCTAAACTTTCCTTCTCGCTTCATTTCATTCATTTCATCTTCCATTGCTGATACCCTTTCTTCCAGTTGATCGCATCAGCTCCTGAGGCTTCTGCATTCTTCACGTAGTTCTCGAGCCTTGGTTTTCAGCTCCATCAGCTCCTTTAAGCACTTCTCTGTATTGGTTATTCTATTTTTACATTCTTCTAAATTTTTTTCAAAGTTTTCAACTTCTTTGCCTTTGGTTTGAATGTCCTCCTGTAGCTCAGAGTAATTTGATCGTCTGAAGCCTTCTCTCAGCTTGCCAAAGTCATTCTCCGTCCAGCTTTGTTCCGTTGGTGGTGAGGAGCTGTGTTCCTTTGGAGGAGGAGAGGCGCTCTGATTTTTAGAGTTTCCAGTTTTTCTGTTATGTTTTTTCCCCATCTTTGTGGTTTTATCTACTTTTGGTCTTTGATGTTGGTGATGTACAGATGGGTTTTTGGTGTGGATGTCCTTTCTGTTTGTTAGTTTTCCTTCTAACAGACAGGACCCTCAGCTGCAGGTCTGTTGGAGTACCCTGCAGTGTGAGGTGTCAGTGTGCCCCTGCTGGAGGGTGCCTCCCAGTTAGGCTGCTTGGGGGTCAGGGGTCAGGGACCCACTTGAGGAGGCAGTCTGCCCGTTCTCAGATCTCCAGCTGCATACTGGGAGAATCACTGCTCTCTTCAAAGCTGTCAGACAGGGACATTTAAGTCTGCAGAGGTTACTGCTGTCTTTTTGTTTGCCTGTGCCCTGCCCCCAGAGGTGGAGCCTACAGAGGCAGGCAGGCCTCCTTGAGCTGTGGTGGGCTCCACCCAGTTCAAGCTTCCTGGCTGTTTTGTTTACCTAAGCAAGCCTGGGCAATGGTGGGCGCCCCTCCCCCGCAGCCTCACTGCCACCTTGCAGTTTGATCTCAGACTGCTGTGCTAGCAGTCAGCGAGACTCCATGGGGTAGGACCCTCCAAGCCAGGTGCGGGATATAATCCCGTGGTGCGCCGTTTTTTAAGCCAGTCAGAAAAGCGCAGTATTCCGGTGGAAATGACCCGATTCTCCAGGTGCCCTCCGTCACCCCTTTCTTTGATTAGGAAAGGGAACTCCCTGACCCCTTGTGCTTCCTGAGTGAGGCAATGCCTCGCCCTGCTTCGGCTCGCGCACGCTGCACGCACCCACTGACCTGCGCCCACTGTCTGGCACTCCCTAGTGAGATGAACCCGGTACCTCAGATGGAAATGCAGAAATCACCCGTCTTCTGCGTCACTCTGGCTGGGAGCTGTAGACCGGAGCTGTTCCTATTCGGCCATCTTGGCTCCTCCAATTGTTTATCTTTTAAAAGTATTGTAGGGCAGCCACAGTCATGCCTTGCATGTGCCATTTCTAAACCATTCAGTATTATGATTTATTTTTAAAGTAACATTTGTTATTTTTCTGATGATAATAATAAAGTTAACTCATTGTAAAGTTTGGAAAATATAGAAAAAATGTAAAGAAAATAAAAATCATACATTAGACCCACCATCAAAGATAGCTGACACTAATAAGTTGATGAATTCCCTTTCAGTATACTTATGATGCATGTAAATTTTATGCTAATTTATAATAACACCTTTTTCATTTTTTAGGATAGCAAATTTGCTCCCTTTGAAATGACAATACGTGTGTCACTATCCATTGCCAATTGATTTCAGCTCCACAGGTCTTATAATTAGTGTAAATCCTCAATGTCTGAATATTGACAGAGACTAAGTCACAGATGTTATCCTAAACAGAAGCTTATTTCAATATACATTATTTTCTATAAATTTAATATTGTACTATATAAATTATTTTTAACTTAACTTTTTCCCACTTCATATGATACCATCACCCTTTCCCTATGCTAGAGTCTTCCCAATATGATCTTTAGTACCATGCGTTTTAAGCTAAATTGTGTCCTCTCAAAATGTGTATGTTTATGCCCTAACCTACCAGTACTTCAGAATATGACTGGGTTTGGAGATAAGGCACACAAAGAGGTGAATAAGATACAATGAGGACATCAGGATGAGCCCTAGCCAAATCTGATTGGTATCCTTATAAGAGGAAATTTAGACACACAATGAGAGACACCAGGGGTGAGTGTGCATAGAGGAAAGACCATGTGGAGAGACAGCAAGAAAGCTGCCATCTGCAAGCCAAGGAAACAGGCATCAGCAGAAATCGGACCTGCCTGCATCCTGATCTTGCACTTCTAGCCTCCAGAACTGGAAGAAAATAAATTTATAATCCTAAGCCACTCAGTCTGTAGTATTTGTTACAGCAGCCTAGCAAACTAATATGCTGCTTTATACAATTTATGTAGTCACTCACTTACTGTTAAGTGCCAGTTTCTCTTTTTTAAAAACAATGTTAGGATGTACATCTCTGTAAAGAAATTCTTACTGGATTATTGACTATCTTCTCAGAAGAATCTTTAAAATTTTCCCATTACAAAAATAACATATATTTATTTATGAAAATCAGAAAATAGAGCAAAAAAAAGTAGCATAATGTCATTATTCGAACACAAAGATGGTTATATTTATTGTATTTCTTTCTAATGTTGCTTTTTCTTATTTAGACACTGCGATGGTTAATTTTATGTGTCAACTTGACTGGGCCATGGGATGCTGAGTTATTTGATTCAACATCCTTTCTGGGTGCATATCTGAGGGCGGTTTCTGAAGGGGACCAGCATTAGAACTTGTGGCCTGAGTAAAGCAGATGGGCCTCCCCAGTGTGAGTGGGCATCCTCTAAGCCTCTGAGGGCCTGAATACAACAGAAATGTGGAGGAAGGTTGAATTCACACTCTGTCTGACTGCCTGAGCTGGGACAGCAATCTTCTCCTGTCCTGCACACTCCTGCTTCTCAGGCCTTCAAACTTGAACTGGAATCTATACCATCAGCCCTCTAGCTCTAAGGTCTTCAAACTAAACCACCAGCTTTCTTGAGTCTCCAGCTTGCAGATGGCAGATTATGGGACTTCTCAGCCTCTATAATTACATGAATAATAAATCTTACATATATATTACATATATACACATATATATCTCATTTAAATATATAAATTTAAATATAAAAATAATAAACATTATATTTATATCTCAAGATTTATATATATATTTTGTTTCTCTGAGAAACCCTGACTAATACAGGTACTTAAAACAATGATTGTAATCATGTTTATGATTTTTCATTTTGCTTTATAAATTTGACATAACATCATCAGCATTACTTCATATTATTGCATACTCTTAATAAGTATTTTAATGGCTCCATAGTAAGTAAGTTCATTAAGAAAGTAAAACTAAGCCTTCCCTCACCATAATTTTCTTTCTATCTGGTGTTTAGACTTTTACTAGAGTACAGCTCAAGCTACAGATGTGAAAGAAATAATAGAATAAAGAAAAGAGAGAAAGAATGGAAGGAAGAGAAAGAAAAAGAGGAAAGAAAGAAAGAAAGAAAGAAAGAAAGAAAGAAAGAAAGAAAGAAAGAAAATGGAGGGAAGGGAGGGAGAGAGGGAGGGAGGGAAAGGAAGAGAGAGGGAGAGAAAAAGAAAGAAAGATAGAAAGAGAAAGAGAGAGAAGAGGGAGGGAGGAAGGGAGGAAGGAAGGAAGGGAGGGAGGGAAAGGGGGAGAGAGAGAGAAAGAAAGAAAGAGAAAGAAAGAAAAAAAGAAAAAGAGAAAGAAAGAAGAAAGAAAGGAAGAAAGAAAGAAGGAAAGAAAGAAAGAAAGAAAGAAAAAAGAAAGAAAGAAAGAGAGGAGGGAGAGGGAAGAAAGGAAGGAAGGAAGGGAGGGATGGAAGGAGAGAGGGAGGAAAGGGAAAGGGAAAGACAGCAGCTTAAACTGATGGCCGTTCATTTCTCTGTCACACAACAGTCCATGGCAGGCAAGGGTTCAGGCCTCCCTCACCCTGGCCCCCCACTGTGTGCCCCAGTTGGCTACTCTAGGTCATATTATCTCCCAGCCAGCATGATGTGGAGATAGGACCAGGTGAGTGCCCTCACAATCCTTTTAATGGCAAGACCCAGGAGTGGCACACATCACTTCTACCATGTATCACTGACCTCAACTTAACCTTATGGCCACATCAGCAATAATGGAGGGCTGGATCCTACACTTCCGATAAAAATAAAAAATATATTGACTCAATTGGCATTTATTGCACAAACGTTGTGTGATCGAGACTTTCAGCAGTTACTTCATTTAATATTCTCTGACTAGATATCATCAGCTTGGTAGCTGGGGGTCACCAAGCCACTGCAGAGGTTAAGTAACCTTCAAGGTCTCAACATCTCCTTTATTCAGACAGAACTAATTCCAAGTCTGTTTAATTCCAAAACTACTGTTCTTCCTGGTATATTATTATTTTGTTTCTTTATTAAATTCCTAAAGATTAAACTTTAAAACTTCAAAGCATTTACTTCCAAGACTTCTGAATTTTTAAAATAATTCTTAGTGAAATAAAGAATCTCTGTTATGCCTCCAAATACAGGTTTAGTAGAAAATATTGTCAGGTAGTTTTAGAATAAGTTCTGTCTCTGGACTTCTGGGACTAGTTAAGTAAATAACCAGTATTTATAATGCTCCATTTGTTCCCATGTAAATTATGACAACAATAGTCATTGTTTTTCAAACGTTTCTAGATCTTAGAGAATAGACCTTTTTGTGACAGGAAACTGGAAAAAATATCCCCCCAGATTATTCACACAAAAAATAGTGATATTGTTTTGCTAGGGGCAAGGTCAGAGGGAAGAATTCTACCCTTCCTTCATATGATGAGAAAATAAATGGAAACATGACAAGATGGCTTACTTTTTAGGAAAACTAATGAGGCAATCAACTGCATGGCTTTCTGCTGGGAAGATTGAACTAGAATTGGAGCACCCAGGTTCACTGTCACATACAGGATTGAAGCCTTCACATCTGACACTCAACTTTGCAGGACACAAGGGACCAAAAGGGAGGAATTTCTCCCTGTGGAGCATCAAGGAGTTTTGTAAAAGGTTTTTCAACTGAGAGACATGAAAGAGGGCCTCAGAGAGGGGACATTTGGAATGGTCTCTTTTTGGAAAACCGAAGCCATAAACAAACCCTTCCCTTCTTTGGTTAAGAGTATGAGTAGATTAGATTCAGTGACAGCCTTTGTTCTCTCTCATACTATATTGCTTTTTTGAGAGTTACTGCAGCTTAAGAAAATAACTTTGTATATTTCCATTATAGAGGGTTTGGTCTGGGGAAGATAGTCAGGACAGTAGGTACACAAGGAAAGGATGGCAGCTGCTCTCCAAACATCTTTCCAGGGCTACAGAGCACGGGGTGGGTGGAGGTGGAGCTGGAGGTCAATTCTTTGGATGAAATCCTCCAGCCCTGCTTTGCCCTCCACCCTCCCACCATCACCCATGATAAGCATGGAGCATCGTTCAGGACAGAAAAGAAGAAACTCCTTCACGCCAGGCTATATGCATGTGGTAAGCCCAGCTAAAAGTAATGGACACATGAGCAAAATGTTGAGGATTTAGAATTCCAGGTGCCTCTCAGTGAAAGTGGCAATGGTTAATTGAATAGAATACATAATCAAATAGTACAAGTAGGCCCGGTGCGGTGGCTCACGCCTGTAATCCCAGCACTCTGGGAGGCCAAGGTGGGCGATCATGAGGTCAACAGATCGAGACCATCCCGGCCAACGTGGTGAAACCCTGTCTCTACTAAAAATACAAAAATTACCTGGGCATGGTGGCATGTGCCTGTAGTCCCAGCTACTCAGGAGGCTGAGGCTGGAGAATCGCCTGAACCTGGGAGGCGGAGGTTGCAGTGAGCCGAGATCGCGCCACTGCACTTGAGCCTGGCAACAGAGTGAGACTCCGTGTCAAAAAAAAAAAAAAAAGTACTTTTTTTTCTTTAGAATTCAACATCAGCTAAAAGGCTTCTACTGTTTATGTTTTATTACCTGGTTTGTTACACATCTATTGTAAAGTGCTATTAAATTATAATAAATTAGTTTTCCCTCCACAGAAGTGTCACCTGAACATACTTAGCTGGCTCATCAGTGCCACAAATATGTAATTATTTATCTTATTAAGCAGTTTTGTTACCTTTTACACATTGCATAGTGCTTTTTCATTAGCTTTACCTGAAAAAAAAAAGAAGAAGTAAACTATTGTAAAGTGAGAAGTTCTTAGCCATGGTTATATACTCACTAAATTCTAAAGTTTCTTGAGCCTCTGGATCCTGCTAAGAATTTTGCCTTTGATCTACAGATCAAAGACCACAGCAAGAATCTCATTAAAGCTATGAAACTTCTCTCTAGAAAATGAATGTAAACAGAGAATGCTATATAAAATTTCAGGGGTTTTATGGATCCCCAGAAAGCCAGTCGGTGGAACCCCAGATTAAGAAACTCTGGTTTTTAAAAGGATTTTGAAAATTCTTGATAAATTATGTACAACAATAAATTTTCTGATACTCTACACTTCACTCTTTCAGGTATTTATGCATAAGGCAAATATCTATCACTGTAATGGCAAAGATGACAGGGGTAATTTCAATCTGGATTTTGTTGGTTAAAAAAATAAATAATGTCCTATCTCTTCAATCTTTCTACATCAACCAAAGATACATTGTTCAGTCCCTTCCCCCAGGTAAATTTTACATGAAAAAAGAAATTACTTTGGCCACTGCAGCAATGTCAAATCCTAAAGAATTGAGAAAGCATGTCATGTTCTGAGATATATTGGGTGCTTATTCTTTGCTAGACATTTGTGCTAAGCACTTTACATGCATTTTTGCATTTAATTCTCAGAATAAGCATGTGAGAAAGTCACTAGCTTATTTTTTAAATCTCCATCTTATATATAAGGAAATTGAGAGGAACTCAGTAATTTGGCTGAGGTCACACTGTTGGTGATGATGCCAGAACTCAATTTTTCTTTTGCAATTTCTTTTGCCTGGCAACCAGGCAAAAGTCATCAGAAACAGGTGTCTTTTATCTAAAGTTCTGTGAAGGAGGAGCAGTTTTATTTTATTTCAAAGAAACAAATGACATAAATAAATTTGCACCTGCCCTCGATGTTGTGCAAATTTATTTATAATGAATTGCAAAGAAAGGGGAAGTAGCCCTAAATTCAGAAAATTTTAAATAATCTGAAATCAGGTATGTAACATGCAATCCCATTTGTCCAGAAAAGAGGCCAAAGGCAGAACAGTAAATATTTTCCACAGCAAAATTATCACAAGGGTGCATGGAGTCTTCCAATCTCGAGGACACTTCCCGTTTAAATGGAAACTGCAAATCACCAGGTTACCATGTGGTATAAGTCATGAGTCTATCAATCTCTTTCACTCTTCATTTGCCTTAGATTGATTTGACTTTGTGATAATGCATCGTTCTGATCACACTGTGCCATTGTTGATATAGAGTCTCCAGAGAAAACTACAAACAGATAAAGAAGGCTGGCAGCTCAATTTTAATAGAGTCTTAGGATGAAGAACAGTAATATTTGGGAGCATCACCAACTAATACTGGTGCCCAAGAGAACTTTCAAGATATAAGCCAGCAGTAAAATATGTGTAGAAGTGAATGGTAAGGCAGAAACTGAAAACGAATTACTATAACCACTCCAATTCATTGCAAAGTTTTGCTCCTAAGGATATAATACTCAGATGCTTACTGAGCATTTAAATATGCAGCTAAATATGTACCACAGTGGTTAATCAAGTTGAAATACAGGGTTGGGGTTTGTATACGTGAGAAGCTGAAGTCCAGAACAGTTGAATTACTTGAGGTCTCACTGAAAATTGGTGATATTAGGGCTTATTCCAATGTCTGTTCACTATACCTCATTCCTATTCCAGTCTATTCTAGACCAAGTGTCAGCAGGCATTCATTTTCTTTAAAAGTCAGATCACAAATATTTTAAGATTTCAGTTCATTTTGTCTCTGTAGCAACTACTGGGGTCTGCCATTGTATCACAGAGCCAGCCATAGACAATAATAATGAATGGGCATGTGTTCCAATAAAACTTTATTTATAAAACAGACAGCTGGCTGGATTTTGCTGGCAGATAGTAATTTGCAACCCCTGCTCTAGACTACAAATTTCATCTCTGCCATTCATTAATTATAGGTTTTGAGTTAGTCAGTAGTCTCTTTCAACCTCAGTTTTATCCCCCAGTGAAGTATACTATTTTCCCAATAGTGGAAGTAATTTTTCTCAGGTAAATTGTTGAAAATGGCTTTCAATAGAATATAGTTTGGGGAATATCAGTCTTTAGATTTATAAAATCATATACAAATATTTGGGTGTATGTGTGTAAATGTACACATATAATTTATTGAATACCTATAATGTGCTACATACCCTAGCAAACACTTTACAAATAACAGATTTGATCCTAAAAACTATCTTTCAGTGTAGATGCCAGGTGGTTGAAAGACATTAGTGAGTTTGCCAAAGCTGCATAGCACCCAAGTTGTGGAACTGTGATCAGTTGCTTCCTAAAAGCTTCACTCAGGCCCTTACACTATGCTGTCTTTCCACTGTCTTGATGAGGACAAACTACTAATTTTCTTGGGAGTTTCATGTATGTGGAGTAGAAGGCATTTTTTGTGGCAGACAACCTTCTGCCCATACTCAAACATGCACTGCGCCATGTTTTACCAGTGAGTGAAGCAACAGCACTAAAATGTAGTGTTCGTGGCTAGTGTGTGCCCCCATTCTAGTCCAGCTTCCTTTTATACTTTTAGTTGCAATGACTGTTAAGAGGACCCTGTTCTTAGAAATTTTCCCTCTACCTAAAATATTTGGGGATCTCTGAAGAACAGAAACACCTGGGGGCTCCGACTGAGGAACAGGAATGCAAGAGGCAAAAATACATATCATCAAGACACCATACAAGAGAAATAGCCAGGGAGGGACACCACTGGGGCTGGGTTGGGAGAGGGCTCCTGGGGAGCTGCTACCCAAAGAATGCACTGAAGACCATCTGGAGTCCGGTGCTGTAAGGGTAGCCCTCATTGTTTTCCTCATGGCTACTATATCCCGGGAAGAGAAGGGTAATACTAAAAAGCAACACTTAATTCCCCAATAAAGTAAGTGCAGCAGAGACTAGGAATTTATTTTGCTTACAGTTTGATTTCCTGGCCTGTTAATTTCTCAGAAAGAAGAAAAGGAATTTGAAAGTGAGAAATATTTACTTATGTGGGAATAAATATGCATGAAAATGCTAAACAAAAGTGCAAAACCAGTATTTATGCCCGTTTGCATGAATTTTAAAGCAATATGAATCAAGAAAGCTCTAACATTATCATTCTGACTCTTTATAATGGGACAGAGAATACAGTTTTATATATATATATATATAATCAAATTTTATTCTATGTATGAATAGATGCATATTATGTCAATGACTTTCTTGATGAAATAACTATTTTTTCTTGTAAATCTCATAAAAACAGTTTGAGATTATCAAAATTAAGGGATCAAGCTAGTGCATAACAAAGTAAAACATTCTAGTCTGTATATGTAAATGAGGTAACAGCAACACATTCAACATCTGTTAAATTCACAAAATATAATATTCATTTCATAAGGTTTAAAATACGGGCATGAGTATTATGAAGAGGAATATAACTGCACAGAGAGAACTCTGTGACATTTTATTATTTCATATTTACACTCAGCTATATGTGTAAATAAACAGGTATTTTAAGATCTGTGCCAAATGAAAAAATATATATTGCTCTAGCCTGAGCTTTGATGCACATGGTGTATATATGCAGTTTAATTTCAAAAAGAAAATGATGGAGAGCCTGGAGATTATAAAAGTTGTACCTAGAGAAATGAGAAATTATCACCCTAGCCACTTTCCCTGTTGAATAGAAGTCTGGAAATGCATTCATTTTATGTCAGCAGAAAACACACCCTTGCCTTGTAAATTGTTACATATTGTAAAATACAGATTGTCTCTAATTAACAAAAAGAAAGACATTGCCTTTCCAAGTCTGGGAATGTTATCTTATAATTTTGTCACAACTGATCTTTATTTAATTGTTCCATTTTAAAGATGATTTATCTTGTTTTTGCCTCTTTGATTGCCTCCGTCTACTGTATTATAAATTGAAACCACTATTAGCAACATCACTAATTTCCCTTAAAGATCATCTGAGCTTTCAAGCTGAAACATTGCACTCAGTTTTATTTTTCATAAAATTGAAATGGTTTTAGATGGCTAATTTTTATCATTTTTAATGCAAGCCTCAAAGGTAGCCTGTTTTTTTAACAAATAAGTAATTGCTTGGACTGAAATTTTTAACTGCCATATTTCAAAGGGAAGATAATGCTAAAAGGGTGTTGGTTATAATAATTAAGCCCTTTGTTCAATCAAAAATAGACTCTAGCTAAAGGCCACTAAACTTCACAAGGTATATAACAAATCATATTTCAATTTAATGAACACAAACTTTTTTCTTCTGTGTTTAGTATTTGTCATTTAGATGCATAAATAGAGAACTAGATTAGGAATAAATTAAGCATAGAGATAATTTGTGGCAGCTCTAATCAATCGTATCTATATGCACTGTGATTACATGAAATGAAAGGGCCATTCGCATATAAGGCTGATAAATGGCTCTAAGTCCAGAAAGAGTTTGATCTGCAGACCAGCTGTCTTTCTTTTTTTACCCAGGCAAAAAAAAAAAAAAAAAAAAAGAAAGAAAGAAAGAAAAAGAAAGATCAACTGTTTAACTAGAAAGCCTTTACCTAATATTTCAAATGAAATTTAAAATATTACAGTACTAGGTGATGTTCAATAATTAGGATTAAACACAACAGGATAACAAATATTATTCAAAACACAGAACTAAAAACTAAAGGCGTGTGACACAGTTCATTGATGGGAAGATACTTTCCTGGCTGATGTAGAGAAGAAATGATATGGTGCAGAGGATGATAAAATTGAAACTGAAAGCTACAACTACTCGATGAAAGGGTGAGAATGGAGTATTTACTCTGCTGGCAGTGGGGAGCCATTGTGGATCTCGACAGGGATTTACGTGAAGCGGGCAACATTTCTGAAGAGTGATCTGGCAGCTGTTGGCAGGAGAGACTGAACAGAGAAGGGTTTGAACATAGGGTTGCAAGGGAAGAATAATCGTAGTGGCTAAAGAGCACTACTGAGAAGTTGCTGAACATTGGCGGCAGTCTAATACACCTGGTCAGGTGCATTAGTCCGTTTTCACACTGCTATAAAGATAATACCTGAGATTGGATAATTTATAAACAAAAGAGGTTTAATTGACTCACAGTTACACATGGCTGAGAAGGCCTCAGGAAACTTATGATCATGGCAGAAGGTGAAGGGGAAGTAAGATGTATCTTACAGTGGCAGCAGGAGAGAAAGAGAGAGAAAGGGGGAAGCGCCAGACACTTATCAAACAACCAGATCTCATAAGAACTCAGTCACTATCACGAGAACAGCATGGGGGAAACTGTCCCCATGATCCAATCACCTTCTACCAGGTCCCTCCCTCAACACGTGGGGATTACAATTCGGATTACAATTCGGGATTAGATTTGGGTGGGGACACAGCCAAACCATGTCACTAGAAAAGGATGTATTGAGAGATATTATGAAGGAAAAGTTGATAGGACATCTTTCAGTTGAAAAAAAAAATTGAGAAGTTTCTAGAATTACCAACTGGGGAAGTGATTTGGGGACACGAAAGGCTACTTCTGCAAATCAGTTGAGATGGTATAAATTGTGCAATAGTAACAGAGTCCCCAGATCTCCTATGCATAAAACACCAAAGTGTTTGTTGTTGTTTCTGTTGCCCACATACACTACCTGTCCATGGTGGTCAGCTGGTCTCTGCTCCTCCTTAAAAGCCTCACTCAGGGTCACTGCTGATAGCTGCTGCAGAAGGAAGAGAGAAGGGAAAACACACACTGTGTCTACAGCTTCTGCATAGAAGGGACACGAGACTTCCTGTTATGTTCCACTAAGAAAAGCAAGCCACATGGCTCTGCCTGGCTTCAAGGAGATGATGCTGATGATTAGTAATATAATATATCACTTTCTCCTCTTGCAATGGGCCTAGGTATTTTGTATGTAAGAACATTTTTTAGACTAGGTTCTACAAAATATGAAAAGCAATTTATTGCCTTTGTCTCTTAGAGACAAATAAATAAGTGCACCTGAGTCAATGTGAAAAGAAATAGAAATATGTGCAAGTGATAAAGAACATCCCTAGCTATGTAGTCAATTTCATAAATATCCAATCTCCTAAATACTTGGTTTGCCATTTAATAGGACTTTCTACAAATTAGTTTCATATGGCTACTGCAATAGATAACCACAAACCTGATGTCTTAACATACTGTACATTTATTCTTACAGTTCTGGAGGTTAGAAGTTCAAAATCTATTTTACTGGGCCAAAATGAAGGTGTCAGGAGGGCTGCACTCCTTTTGTAGACTGTAGGGGAGAATCTGTTCCTTGCCTTTTCCAGTTTTTGGTGGCTGCCAGCATTTCTTGGCTTGTGATTGCATCACTCCAGTCTTTGGCAGTGGGGAGCCACTGTGGATTTCAGCAGGGACTTGTGTGATGCAGGCAACATCTTCTGAAGAGTGATCTAGCAGCTGTTGGCAGGAGAGACTGAACAGAGAAGGGTCTGATCATAGGGTCACAAGGGAAAAATAATCACAGTGACTCAAGAGCACTAATTAGAAGCTGCCAACATAAGAGTTGGCAGTGGTCACGGCTAGGAAAGGATGTTTTGAGAGATATTGCCATTGCTTCTATGGTCACATTGTCTTCTTATCTTCAGTGTAAATTCCCTCTCTGCCTCTTTCTCATAAGGACTCCTGTTATTATATTTGGGCCCATACTGATAACCCGACATAACTGCCCCATCTCAAAATCCTTTATCTTTCCACATATGCAAAATCATTTTTGCCATTCACAGGTTCCCAGGATCAGGACCTCCTTATCCTTGGGGGCCATTATCCAGCCTATGGCACTCATCATGGAATTACTTCTGTGGCTTCCACTGTGTTTAGATAAGCACAGGATATAAAATCAACCAATGCATCATTAACATAGACCTATGTTCAAAAACATCAGCCATAAAAAGGCTCTAAAAGAATTTTCTAATATAAGGAAAGAAGGCATCATTTTGTTTAAGGTTAGGAGGAAAGGTCAACTAAATTTCATCTAGCTTTAAAAATAGTTGGTCAAGGATGATTCTTGTTTTTGTCAACTTTCTCAAAATCATTGAATTTATTTGTTCAGAAATTTTTTAAGTTTTTAAAAATTTTTTTAATAGTGTCAACTTTTATTTTAAATTCAGGGGGTACATGTTTATGTTTGTTACATGAGTAAGTTGCATGATGCTGGGTTTTGGGGTATAATCGGTCCTAGTGAGCACAGTACCCAACAGTCAGTTTTTCAACCCTTATTCCCCTCCCTCCCTCCCCCGTCTAGTAATCCCCAGTGTCTGTTGCTGCCAAGAGATGATTCTTGAAAGAAGGGGTGTTGCTCCTGCAGGTTGGCAGCCATCGTTTGCACAGTATGGATATTTATCCAGATGAATGAACAACAGTTTGAGACTAAGATTATGTGCAAGGTCAGTTTGCAGGTAAAGAACATGCGCAGGTAAAGAGGACAGTTATGAGGATCTAATGCAAAATTTTCAGGTTTTCAGCATCTCTTTTAAAAAATCTGTTTCTATTTATAGACTTCCAATTGTAGAAGAGCCATTATCTAAGGAATGGAGTCACTTCTGCTGTCCTTGACGTTTCTGTGTAAGTTTGACTCTGCTCTTGAACCTGTCGTTCTAATGATCGAAGGAGAATAGAAAGAAACTAAGAAAAGTCTGACATGTGTACATTAGAAAAGGAAAAAAGCTTTCTGCACAAAAAAATAGATCTAGAAAGGCAGAAAATGAAGGAAGGGGATAAAAGTTATGCCAGACTAAAGAACAAATGGGGAAAATGGGGAAAAATAATTTAAATCATTTTTCTTGCTGTTAGGAATATAATTTTTATTTGCCCCTCTTCTAAAGACTTCAGAATATATATATATATATATATATATATATATATATATATTCTGCAATAAACAAAAATGACACCAGTTTTCTGAGCACTTTTTTTTGCAGAAAATACACACATATATATATATGTATATATATATATATATATATATATATATATATATATCTCCATGGCTAGACACAAATTCCCTACAGAGAAACTTTCCACTAATTATCTAAATTTTACACTAACATCGGTGACATAATGTAAGTTCCAAATTTCAGCAACTCTTCTCTTGAATATTTTTATGTAACATATTGGAGGTTGTAGTTTTTCTCATTGGGTAGGTGTTTCCCAATTATAATCTTACTTTAAATTTTCTTTAAGTGTAAAAATGATTTTAATTGATAGTGTCTGTGCATAAAACAATTTTGGGTAATTAAACATACCTGAATGACAGTAGATCATATTGATTGGTCAGCAATTAACCATAATTAGGAACAAAACAAAATGAAGCAAAAGATAAAATGATCAATTTGTTAATATAAATAGACACACCTTAAGATTTCATTTGTTCTTGAAAATCCTATCTGTCCTAAATTCAAAGGATGATGTCGAATATTATAATCATATCCTAAACAGTCTCTAGCATTCTCCCTAAATTATCACATAAATTATTGTGTATGGAGTAAAGACAACCAGGCTCTGTCTAGGTTTAATGGAAAAGTCCATTCTGAGAGGTAGCTGGATCAATGGGATCTTCAACTATAAATAACATATATTATCCTTCTGAATTTTTCTACCGATTGGTTTATAACCCTTCATATTCATTATCTTGTTTCAAGCTCACAAAATCCCCAGCATTAGTCAGAATAGCCATTGCATCCTGTTTTGTTTAAAAAAAAAAGAAAAAGAAAAAGTGCTCAGAAAACTGGTGTCATTTTTGTTTATTGCAGAGGAAAGTCTAGAACGCAGGTGTTCTGCTGCTCCCACATTGCCTTGTACCTTAATTCTCTAAAACATACACATTGCTTTTTTGGCTAACAAATAGCTCATACTTCAAAAGTTCCAAGGGCATATTTTTCTTTCCAAATCCTTAACAATTGAAAAATCCATCTGGTCTCTGAAAATTGGTCTCTGAATATAAGGACAGTGCTGGTCAGAAGTAGATTCTGGGCTGGTGGGCTGCAAAAACCTAGTCTCATGTCCTATGCAGAAGACACTTGTGCTACCTAGTCTGATTTTCCATGCAACCCAAGTGCACAGTTTCCAGTCAGCTTGGAACCCAAATAAAACCCAAGAAAAATGTTCAAGCAAGACTTTCCCAATGGTTACTTCTAAGCAGGCTGCTCATATGCCACTGCCATCCTTTAGCACATTGCCCTAACTTCATTAAACACTTTTAGGAATATATATGTGTGTATATATATGAAAAGTCTTTATTTAATAAAACCTTATACTTTAGGCATTATGTTATATTTCCAAGAACTTTAGTCATTTTTCACATTAAAGTCTTGAACTTCCCTAATTAAACTGTGAATATTAAAATAACTCTGTGTAAATAGCAAATAACTGGGAGTGAGTGACATTCAGTGGACATTCATAATCAGTTATTGACCACCCCTTAAATACACACACCACAAATACAATCTCCACAATGTTCCCTACTCTATCGTTCAATACATTTTATGCATCGATTATTACATACTAATGGGCTGTGTAATATCCTTTCCAGATTTCATTGTAGGTATTTTATTAAAATGAATAGATTCAATTATAGAAAAAAAATTAAGTCCTTTCCTACTGCTGTTCATTTTAATTGTAAGTAGTTAAGCATTTATATTTTGCACTCTTTGGTTTGCTACATGTGTGATCTGATTCCCATTGGTAACTCCTTGCATATTACCTTTATATTGTAGGTAGTCCAGGTTGTGAATTTCTGAGGTTATGTTGTACACATTCCATTTTTAGCACATACATAAACATTTGCCATCTTCAGAGTTTGCAACAGGAGAAAATAATTTCATTCATTCATTCATTTATGCCACAAATATTTATTGTTTGCCTACTATGTATCAGGCACTGTCTTAGTTACTGATAACAGATTAGTGGAGGAAAAAAGAGAGAGATAAATATCCTTGCAGTGATGATGTTCTAATTTGGGAAGACAGACTACAAAGTTAAAAGTAAAATGTATAATATGACAGATGGCGATACATACTAAGAGAAAACTAAAGCACAAAAAAAGGTTGGAGAATTCCAAGGGTAGGCAGATTTTAAATAGATTGTTTGCCATTCCAGGATGGTATCCTTCCTGAAAAGACCTAAGGAAGATGAGAAAGCAAGCCATACAGATATCTTGAAAACACCACATGCAAAGCAAACAGTAAGTGCAAAAGCTCTGAGGCAGAAATGTGCACAGTGTCCTAAGATTAACCCAGAGGCAGGTATGTCAGGAGCAGAGTAAACTAAGTGGAGAGTAAAAGGAGATAAGAGCAGTGTTGATGGCCATATCACCCTAAGCATGCCAGACCTTGTCTGATCTCAGAAGCTAAGGAGGGTCTGGCCTGGTTAGCATTTGAGTAGGAGATTTTAAGATCGACACACAACAATAAATTATATTTCTACATACTAACAATAAACATGCAGAAACTTAAACACATAATACCATTTATAATCACTCCTAAGAAAATAAAATACTTAGGATAAAAGGGCAGGGAGGTCATGGTAAAAATTGGATAGGGCCTGAATGCTACTGTAAGGACCTTGATTTTTACTCTAAGTCAGATAGGAAGCCATGACTTGATATACATTCTTTCTAAATAAATGTTAAGTCCAGTGACGCTCTAGACAGAGCATCCCTGCATGGTGAGTAGCCCTGCAGAGTCCCCCTGCATGGTGACTCAGTGACCCAGGTGGCCTCTAGTTGTGGCTCTACTATTTCAACACTCAGTTGGCATATTCACTGAGAAGGGGAAAGTGAACTGGAAGGTCCACAGGGGACTTTTTCTTCTTCTTCTTTTTCTTTCCTTTTTTTTTTTTTTTTTTTTTGAGACAGCGTCTTGCTCTGTCGAACAGGCTGGAGTGCAAAGGCCCAATCTCGGCTCACTGCAACCTCCGTCTCCCAGGTTTAAGTGATTCTCCTGCCTCAGCCTCCCAAGTAGCTGGGATTACAGGCGCCTACCACCACGCCTGGCTAAATTTTGTATTTTTAGTAGAGATGGTGTTTCATCATGTTGGTCAGGCTGGTCTTGAACTCCTGACCTTGTGATCCGCCCACCTCAGCCTCCCAAAGTGCTGGGATTATAGGCATGAGCCACCTCACCCGGCCAGGACTTTTTCTTCCACTCACAGTCCATTGTCAACAACTAATCAGAAGCCCCAGAAAATATAGTTCTCCCAGGAGAAATGGAAAACTAAATTTCATTGAGCACCAGTAATGTTTACTATTTGGGGCAAAGGTAGAAGCAGTGAGGCCAGGTAAGAGAAAATTGCAGTTAGCCAGAAAAGATGATGACAACTGCTTGAACCATGTTGGTAGCTGAAGACATATTCTGAATATATTTTGAAGGTAGGAGCAATAGGATTTACTGATCAATTTCGAATGGGGGATTTTAGAGAGGAGGTAAGTTGGAAGGATGGAGTTTCCCATTTACTGAGCAGAGAAGACTTCAGAAGTAGTGCATTTAATGGGAATATCAAGAGTTTGGTTTTGAAACACTGAATCTAAAATTTCCATGGAACGCCCAACTTGAGATGTTGGGTAGATAGTTGGGTATATGAGCGTGGAGTTCAAAAGATAGATAAATGTAGGTATCATCCACATAGTGACAGTATTTACAGCCATATAACATAGAGAGATACCTAAAAAGCATGTGTAGATTTAAAAAAAAAAAAAGAAAGAAACAAAGAAAAAGTTCAAGGACTGAGGGCTGAGATCTAGGGCATTTAAACTTTTACAATTTTGGTAAATGAATAGGACAAGCAAAGGATCTTAAGATAAAGCAACTATGAATCAGGAGAAAAAAACAGCAATGTGCAGTGTTGCATAAATGAAGTGTAAATAATGTATAAAGGAGAGAGTAATCAACATGGCCCAGTCCTCCTAATACACCAAGTTAGATGAGGACTGATAATTGGCCATTGAATTTAGCAACATGGAGGTCATTGCTAACCTCAACAGAAGCTATTTTGTGGAATGGCAGAGAGGAAAGCCAATTAGAGTTCTTCAGGAGCAGAAAAATGGGTGGTAATTGGAGCAGGATGTGGGAGAAATTTAGTATGTCTGTATGCTGATGAGACCAATCCAACAGAGAGAGAATCGAGGAATACGCAGGCAAGGCAGGGGATATTCCTGGGGTGATATGTTTAGTAAAGGACAAGAAATGGGTTCTGACACTTTGGTGGGGGGTTTCTCTCTGAGAAGAGCATCATAGTTTCATCCATTGAAATGGAGAGAAGTCAAAATATCTGGGCACAAATGCGAGTAGGTGGGAAACCGTGATGATAGGAACCAGGGGGACATCTTTCTGATAGCTTCTGTTTTCTCAGTGAAATAGAAGCAAAGTCACCATCTAGAGTTAGAATGAAAGAGGTTTGAGAAGAGAGAGGCAAGCTTGTTGTCTAGCGTGTTGTAGGAGAGTGAATGAACTAGGGGATGGAACACGATTTCCAGACTGCTCTGGGGGACATTTGTTAGTGATCATGAACTTGAAGTTAGGCCAATCAGCATTGCTGGATGTTTTTCTCCAGCCATGGTCGACAGCGTAGGTACAGGGGCAGGTGTGAAATGGCCAAAAAGTTGGGTTTTAAGAAGTCTCATTTACATTGATCATGATCTTGCCACTAAAATTCTTGATTATGTTAACCATCTCCTTACCCACAGATGCCCTGAGACTGGGGAATCACTGTAGAGTCTGCCTTCCACACTCCAGTCTAAATCTACTCGCTCTTTGTTTCCAAACGCATTATCTATACCTAGTTTCCTCTTAGTGCCCACTGCCTCTGCCAGGACTGTTTATCTTATTCCTACTTGACTGTGAAGGATATGGCTCCAATTTTTCTCAAGTGCTCAGCAGCCTCTGGGCCAGTTTCTCACATCTCCACCTCTCCCTTCATGTTAAGGCCTGTCTGCAGCTCCCAGCCTGGATCAGCACCCTGAGTCAGGGTGTTCAGAATGTGGATTGGAGTGAAGTAGTCCTATCACAGAGACCTGTTCTCTGATAAAATAAGAATGGACTGAACACCACTGAGAGAAGAAACAAGAAATCTCGGGCCCCGTCTTACCACTCTGAGCCCCATCTGCTTTTCTGCTTCATCCAGGAGCCAATCCAGAGACAGTTTGGATTGCGAGTGACATAGGGTGACAGATTGCATCATAGAGCCTTTGCTCCTTACCTCAAATTAGACCAATTCTTTCACAGTCCAGATGGTTAATGCTGCTGCGAAGACCTCAGCAACATGTTGAGCTTACCACCCAAATAACTTGCTCCTGGGGAAATTTTAGAAACTGTTATCTAAACAAATGGGAGGTCAGCTTATTTTGTTGGAAAAAAAGAGTCTCTACAGAAACATTTGGGCAGGTTTCAGTTTGGGCAAAAAGCATTTCATTCATTTCATTTTAACGGTCACTGTTGAATAAGCATGAAAAATGTTTTTCATTAGTCCTTCTTCCATATTATACCTGACATTCAGAGGAAAACATGAATTTTTCCTGTGCTTAACAAATATTCTGTAGTGATATGGAGCAGCAGGAGAGATGCAAAAGGAATGGTAATTTCACAAAATGAAAAGGCTTGGGCTAAAACAGCTCATTTATTCCCAGGAAGGAGCAAGACCATGCTAGCACATGATAAAAATAAACTGATGAAATTTCTAATACTGGAGATTATGATTAAAGACAATTTATAATCGGTCTGAAAATGAAATGGGGAGGAATGCTTCATTTTTGTTATTTGCTTCAACCTAATTTATTTTCTCACACCCCATTCATTCAACAGGGGACCCCCAACAGTCTCTCCATAGGTAGAACTTTTTGCCTCATGCTCTGACTAATGCTTATAACCACACAAATAGCTTATTTTGCCAGCTTCTTTTATTGCTATGTCTAGGATTTTAACACTAATGTGATTTTCCTTTATTTTTAATGTTCTGAAATTAATCGTACATGTGTAATATCTAGTTTTGAAATGTAAATGCCTTTGACATTTTGCTTTAATTCCAATGTGAATGGTAATTTAAGGGTTTTATAATAAAGATGAACCAACCTATACAATGAATACATAAACAGGGAACAGGAATATACAAAAGTAAAAGAAGGTTTTTGTAATGTGTTCTCTGTAGATTCCACTGGAGTGGGAGAATAGTGTGAGTTCATTTCTAATACTTCATCACAAAATTAAAGATAGAAAAGAGCTAGTTCAGAATGTTACCTGTTTAAATAACTTATTTTAGGCTAGTTAGTGGTTGTGAATACCAGTAATAGTAAGTAGAAAAAAAGAAAATGGTGGCTACTTTGACGAAAGAATGAGAAAAGCAAACAAGTAATTGACATCTAAAAGGAATACTTCCCGGACGGGCACGGTGGCTCTCGCCCGTAATCCCAGCACTTTGGGAGGCCGAGGTGGGCGGATCACGAGGTCAGGAGATGGAGACCATCCTGGCTAACACGGTGAAACCCCGTCTCTACTAAAAACACAAAATGTAGCCGAGCGTGGTGGCGGGCACCTGTAGTCCCAGCTACTCAGGAGGCTGAGGCAGGAGAATGGTGTGAACACTGAAGGCAGAGGTTGCAGTGAGCCGAGATGGCACCACTGCACTCCAGCCTGGGCAACAGAGCGAGACTCCATCTCAAAAATAAATAAATAAATAAATATAATTTTTAAAAAAGGAATGCTTCCCTTAAGCTGACGTAAGCAAAAACTTGCTAAAGTGTAACATGGAATTTGCATTGAGCACTAATTATGAGCCCGGGAATGTGCTGCATACTTTACCTGAATTGTCTGATTTATCCTCATACAGCTGTATGAGCACTCCTGTTATTTTTTCTTTATTTGCGGATGAAGAGACTAAAGTTCAGAGAAGTGAAATAACTTGCACAAGGTCACACAACTAGTAAATGGCAGAGGCATGATTTAAAATCAAGTCAATCTGACTCCAGACTTATTTTGTACAAAGATAATTTCTTAAAATATGTATTTTCATAAAAATCTTCTTAAAATGTATAAATAGCAAACAACTTTTAAAATGTATAGAATATCTTCTTAAAATGTACAGAAGAAAAAGAATCTTCTTAAAATATATAGACTAGCAAAAGTCTGATAATAAAAGTGCATACCCATTAAAAGTTAAATGACATCTGATGTTAAAATTTTATTAGTACAGAATGTGACACAAAATAGCACTTATTTCTCCATGAGCTTTGCAGTAAGCCCTGATCAACCTTCAAAGGAATCCTCCTGAGTTTACATGAGTTGGAAAATGTGTTTTCCTGGCTCGTTAAAGTGGAACCAATCTCCTCCGTGTGGTAGAGAGAGGCAGTACATGATTCCCTAAGTATTTACCCTGAGGTTGAAATAGCATTCCTACAATTTACTTCGTTCCTCTTAACTTATACCTCTCAGAAGCTCAGTGGAAGCATTGGAAAAGGTTACTACCTTACTTCTAATTCTGCGATTTTGTTCCAAGAACTGGAAGATCCATTCTGGACTGAATCCTATGAGGTACACAAAGGAAAATGATCTCATCTTCTCACTGTGGAGACATCCATTCTCCAACTCTTTGGGGATAATCTGATAGAATGCATTCCTTAGGTTGTTCTGGTGAAGGAGAATTACAGTAATAGTTTCAGCTAACACAGTCAAATTGCATTTTTCCTCACATGAACTGATGTATCAGCAAAAAACTAACAGTCTTTTTTTTAGCAAAACAGGAAATATAAAGTTATTTTTAAAAGAAACCTGGAACATAAATAGGGAAAATAAGTACATAATAGGTTATAAAGTATTAATAAGCTTTTGACAGTTCATACAATTCTTTCAGATAAAATTTTATTTATTTTGATAATGATCCCTTGAGTTGAGTAGGGCAGATATTATTATATTCATTTAACAGAAAAGACAATGGAAGGTCAAAAAGGTCAAGCCGCTCATCTGGGGTTACGTGGATTGAAATTAACACTTCTGAGCTCCAGCACAGGTCTTTTGACTCTTGTCAAGATTTAATATTGATAAAATGTTTATTATAATATCTGGAAGCTTTTTTGGACAATTATTTCATTAAACAGAAAGCTTTCCTGGGGTTTTTCCTGCAGATTAATACTTCTCACTGCATGTCTACCCACGCCACAATATTTCACAGTATAAAATTCCAATGATAAGACATCATCACCCTTCTTGTCCCTAGGATCACAACAAACATCAGTCAGTGCCTGTGATGTGTTACTCTGTATCTGATATTTTCAAATATTAACTGTTTCAATAAGCAGGAAAATGCTAATGAGGTATATATCATTGTTCTTTTTTGTACAGAAGAATCTAGGAGAGGAAGCAATTATCTTAACAATGCTATTAAGTAACTATATCAATCAGGCAGATAGCCTGGCATCCATGCTGTGGTTAGTAACAAAATCAAAGACCTCAGTGAGTTACAATCTCAAAGGTATATTTAGAGCCAACAAGTACTAATGTACTAAGCAGATTCTGCACAGCAAAAGAAACTATCATCAGAGTGAACAGGCAACCTACGGAATGGGAGAAAATTTTTTCAATCTACCCATATGTCAAAGGCCTAATATCCAGAATTTACAAGGAACTTGAACAAATTTACAACAAAAAACCAAACAACCCCATCAAAAGTGGGCAAAGGATATGAATAGACCACTTCTCAAAAGAAGACATTTACGTGGCCAACAAACATATGAAAAAAAACGCTCAACATCACTGATCGTTAAGAAATGCAAATCAAAACTACAATGAGATACTATCTCATGCAAGTCAGAATAGTGATTATTAAAAAGTCAAGAAACAATAGATGCTAGTGAAGCTGTGGAGAAATAGGACTGCTTTTACACTGTTGATGGGAATGTAAATTAGTTCAACCATTGTGGAAGATGGTGTGGCAATTCCTCAGGGATCTAGAACCAGAAATACCATTTGACCCAGCAATCCTATTACTGGGTATATACCCAAATGAATATAAATCATTCTGCTATAAAGACACATGCACACATATGTTTATTGCAGCACTATTTACAATAGCAAAGACATGGAACCAACCTGAATGCCCATCAATGATAGACTGCATAAAGAAAATGTGGTACATATACAACAAGGAATACTATGCAGCCATAAAAAGGAATGAGATCATGTCCTTTACAGGGACATGGACGGAGCTGGAAACCATTATCCTCAGCAAACTAATTCAGGAACAGAAAACCAAATACTGCATGTTCTCACTTATAAGTGGGAGTTGAACAATGAGAACACATGGACACCAGAAGGGGAATAACACACACCAGGGCCTGTGGGAGGATGGGGGCCATGGCGAGGGAACTTAGAGGACAGGTCAATAGGTGCAGCAAACCACCATAGCACACTTACACCTATGTAACAAACCTGCATGTTCTGCACATGTATCCCAGAACTTAAAGTAAAATATAAAATAATAAAATAAAATAATGGAATCATTCTTATCTACAACAATGTATAAATTCTAATTAACTAGTTAACAATATATTTTATACAAATGGGCAAAAAATATTTTGAACTTGATATCTCAATAGGTTAAGTCCTAAGTTTTCTACATTTAGATCATAGATTATAATAGTTGATTAGCCGCAAACAAGATATGTGAGGGAACGATTGGAAGTTCTGAAGGTTATTCTCTGGAAAAGATATTCTCCCTTAAAAGTCCTCTCTTACTAACATTTTAATTAGTCCAAGCTTGGGTATTTTAACTGAATTCAGGGGACCATGTTTTATATTTTTCCTAGATGAGCAATTCACAATGAATTAACACTTCTGCTTTTTTGGCTTATACATAAGTTTATTATGAAGTAAAGTCAAGATCTGAGGTAATTATCCAGAAATTTAGAGCCTTAGCTTTCTTAGACATATTCTTTTTTTTTTCTTTTTTTTTTTTTTATTATACTTTAAGTTTTAGGGTACATGTGCACATTGTGCAGGTTAGATACATATGTATACATGTGCCATGCTGGTGTGCTGCACCCACTAACTCGTCATCTAGCATTAGGTATATCTCCCAATGCTATCCCTCCCCCCCACCCACCCCACAACAGTCCCCAGAGTGTGATGTTCCCCTTCCTGTGTCCATGTGATCTCATTGTTCACTTCCCACCTATGAGTGAGAATATGTGGTGTTTGGTTTTTTGTTCTTGCGATAGTTTACTGAGAATGATGATTTCCAATTTCATCCATGTCCCTACAAAGGACATGAACTCATCATTTTTTATGGCTGCATAGTATTCCATGGTGTATATGTGCCACATTTTCTTCATCCAGTCTATCCTTGTTGGACATTTGGGTTGGTTCCAAGTCTTTGCTATTCTGAATAATGCCGCAATGAACATACATGTGCATGTGTCTTTATATCAGCATGATTTATAGTCCTTTGGGTATATACCCAGTAATGGGATGGCTGGGTCAAACGGTATTTCCAGTTCTAGATCCCTGAGGAATCGCCACACTGACTTCCACAATGGTTGAACTAGTTTACAGTCCCACCAACAGTGTCAAAGTGTTCCTATTTCTCCACATCCTCTCCAGCACCTGTTGTTTCCTGACTTTTTAATGATTGCCATTCTAACTGGTGTGAGATGGTATCTTATTGTGGTTTTGATTTGCATTTCTCTGATGGCCAGTGATGATGAGCATTTTTTCATGTGTTTTTTGTCTGCATAAATGTCTTCTTTTGAGAAGTGTCTGTTAATGTCCTTCACCCACTTTTTGATGGGGTTCTTTGTTTTTTTCTTGTAAATTTGTTGGAGTTTATTGTAGATTCGGGATATTAGCCCTTTGTCAGATGAGTAGGTTGCGAAAATTTTCTCCTATTTTGTAGGTTGCCTGTTCACTCTGATGGTAGTTTCTTTTGCTGTGCAGAAGCTCTTTAGTTTAATTAGATCCCATTTGTCAATTTTGTCTTTTGTTGCCATTCCTTTTGGTGTATTAGACATGAAGTCCTTGCCCATGCCTATGTCCGGAATGGTAATGCCTAGGTTTTCTTCTAGGGTTTTTATGGTTTTAGGTCTAACGTTTAAGTCTTTAATCCATCTTGAATTGATTTTTGTATAAGGTGTAAGGAAGGGATCCAGTTTCAGCTTTCTACATATGGCTAGCCAGTTTTCCCAGCACCATTTATTAAATAGGGAATCCTTTCCCCATTGCTTGTTTTTCTCAGGTTTGTCAAAGATCAGATAGTTGTAGATATGCGGCGTTATTTCTGAGGGCTCTGTTCTGTTCCATTGATCTATATCTCTGTTTTGGTACCAGTATCATGCTGTTTTGGTTACTGTAGCCTTGTAGTATAGTTTGAAGTCAGGTAGTGTGATGCCTCCAGCTTTGTTCTTTTGGCTTAGGATTGACTTGGCAATGCGGGCTCTTTTTTGGTTCCATATGAACTTTAAAGTAGTTTTTTCCAATTCTGTGAAGAAAGGCATTGGTAGCTTGATGGGGATGGCACTGAATCTGTAAATTACCTTGGGCAGTATGGCCATTTTCACGATATTGATTCTTCCTACCCATGAGCATGGAATGTTCTTCCATTTGTTTGTATCCTCTTTTATTTCCCTGAGCAGTGGTTTGTAGTTCTCCTTGAAGAGGTCCTTCACATCCCTTGTAAGTTGGATTCCTAGGTATTTTCTTCTCTTTGAAGCAATTGTGAATGGGAGTTCACTCATGATTTGGCTCTCTCTTTGTCTGTTGTTGGTGTATAAGAATGCTTGTGATTTTTGTACATTCATTTTTTATCCTGAGACTTTGCTGAAGTTGCTTATAGCTGAAGGAGATTTTGGGCTGAGACAATGGGGTTTTCTAGATATACAATCATGTCGTCTGCAAACAGGGACAATTTGACTTCCTCTTTTCCTAATTGAATACCTTTTATTTCCTTCTCCTGCCTAATTGCCCTGGCCAGAACTTCCAACACTATGTTGAATAGGAGTGGTGAGAGAGGGTATCCCTGTCTTGTGCCAGTTTTCAAAGGGAATGCTTCCAGTTTTTGCTCATTCAGTATGATATTGGCTGTGGGTTTGTCATAGATAGCCCTTATTATTTTGAAATACGTCCCATCAATACCTAATTTATTGAGAGTTTTTAGCATGAAGGGTTGTTGAATATTGTCAAAGGCATTTTCTGCATCTATTGAGATAATCATGTGGTTTTTGTCTTTGGCTCTGTTTATATGCTGGATTACATTTATTGATTTGCGTATATTGAACCAGCCTTGCATCCCAGGGATGAAGTCCACTTGATCATGGTGGATAAGCTTTTTGATGTGCTGCTGGATTCCGTTTGCCAGTATTTTATTGAGGATTTTTGCATCAATGTTCATCAAGGATATTGGTCTAAAATTCTCTTTTTTGGTTGTGTCTCTGCCAGGCTTTGGTATCAGAATGATGCTGGCCTCATAAAATGAGTTAGGGAGGATTCCCTCTTTTTCTATTGATTGGAATAGTTTCAGAAGGAATGGTACCAGTTCCTCCTTGTACCTCTGGTAGAATTCGGCTGTGAATCCATCTGGTCCTGGACTCTTTTTGGTTGGAAAGCTATTGATTATTGCCACAATTTCAGCTCCTGTTATTGGTCTATTCAGAGATTCAACTTCTTCCTGGTTTAGTCTTGGGAGAGTGTATGTGTCGAGGAATGTATCCATTTCTTCTAGATTTTCTAGTTTATTTGCGTAGAGGTGTTTGTAGTATTCCCTGATGGTAGTTTGTATTTCTGTGGGATCAGTGGTGATATCCCCTTTATCATTTTTTATTGCATCTATTTGATTCTTCTCTCTTTTTTTCTTTATTAGTCTTGCTAGTGGTCTATCAATTTTGTTGATCCTTTCAAAAAACCAGCTCCTGGATTCATTGATTTTTTGAAGGGTTTTTGTGTCTCTATTTCCTTCAGTTCTGCTCTGATTTTAGTTATTTCTTGCCTTCTGCTAGCTTTTGAATGTGTTTGCTCTTGCTTTTCTAGTTCTTTTAATTGTGATGTTAGGGTGTCAATTTTGGATCTTTCCTGCTTTCTCCTGTGGGCATTTAGTGCTATAAATTTCCCTCTACACACTGCTTTGAATGCGTCCCAGAGATTCTGGTATGTTGTGTCTTTGTTCTCGTTGGTTTCAAAGAACATCTTTATTTCTGCCTTCATTTCGTTATGTACCCAGTAGTCATTCAGGAGCAGGTTGTTCAGTTTCCATGTAGTTGAGCAGTTTTGAGGGAGATTCTTAATCCTGAGTTCTAGTTTGATTGCACTGTGGTCTGAGAGATAGTTTGTTATAATTTCTGTTCTTTTACATTTGCTGAGGAGAGCTTTACTTCCAAGTATGTGGTCAATTTTGGAATAGGTGTGGTGTGGTGCTGAAAAAAATGTATATTCTGTTGATTTGGGGTGGAGAGTTCTGTAGATGTCTATTAGGTCCACTTGGTGCAGAGCTGAGTTCAATTCCTGGGTATCCTTGTTGTCTTTCTGTCTCATTGATCTGTCTAATGTTGACAGTGGGGTGTTAAAGTCTCCCATTATTAATGTGTGGGAGTCTAAGTCTCTTTGTAGGTCACTCAGGACTCGCTTTATGAATCTTGTTGCTCCTGTATTGGGTACATATATATTTAGGATAGTTAGCTCTTCTTGTTGAATTGATCCCTTTACCATTATGTAATGGCCTTCTTTGTCTCTTTTGATCTTTGTTGGTTTAAAGTCTGTTATATCAGAGACTAGGATTGCAACCCCTGCCTTTTTTTGTTTTCCATTTGCTTGGTAGATCTTCCTCCATCTTTTCATTTTGAGCCTATGTGTGTCTCTGCATGTGAGATGGGTTTCCTGAATACAGCACACTGATGGGTCTTGACTCTTTATCCAGTTTGCCAGTCTGTGTCTTTTAATTGGAGAATTTAGTCCATTTACATTTAAAGTTAATATACTTATGTGTGAATCTGATCCTGTCATTATGATGTTAGCTGGTTATTTTGCTCGGTAGTTGATGCAGTTTCTTTGTAGTCTTGATGGTCTTTACATTTTGGCATGATTTTGCAGCGGCTGGTACCGGTTGTTCCTTTCCATGTTTAGCGCTTCCTTCAGGAGCTCTTTTAGGGCAGGCCTAGTGGTGACAAAATCTCTCAGCATTTGCTTGTCTGTAAAGTATTTTATTTCTCCTTCACTTATGAAGCTTAGTTTGGCTAGATATGAAATTCTGGGTTGAAAATTCTTTTCTTTAAGAATGTTGAATATTTGGCCCCTCTCTATTCTGGCTTGTAGAGTTTCTGCCGAGAGATCCGCTGTTAGTCTGATGGGCTTCCCTTTGAGGGTAACCCGACCTTTCTCTCTGGCTGCCCTTAACATTTTTTCCTTCATTTCAACTTTGGTGAATCTGACAATTATGTGTCTTGGAGTTGCTCTTCTCAAGGAGTATCTTTGTGGCGTTCTCTGTATTTCCTGAATCTGAACGTTGGCCTGCCTTGCTAGATTGGGGAAGTTCTCCTGGATAATATCCTGCAGAGTGTTTTCCAACTTGGTTCCATTCTCCCCATCACTTTCAGGTACACCAATCAGACGTAGATTTGGTCTTTTCACATAGTCCCATATTTCTTGGAGGCTTTGCTCATTTCTTTTTATTCTTTTTTCTCTAAACTTCCCTTCTCGCTTCATTTCATTCATTTCATCTTCCATTGCTGATACCCTTTCTTCCAGTTGATCGCATCGGCTCCTGAGGCTTCGGCATTCTTCACGTAGTTCTCGAGCCTTGGTTTTCAGCTCCATCAGCTCCTTTAAGCACTTCTCTGTATTGGTTATTCTAGTTACACACTCTTCTAATTTTTTTTCAAAGTTTTCAACTTCTTTGCCTTTGGTTTGAATGTCCTCCCGTAGCTCAGAGTATTTGATCATCTGAAGCCTTCTTCTCTCAGCTCGTCAAAGTCATTCTCCATCCAGCTTTGTTCCGTTGCTGGTGAGGAACTGCGTTCCTTTGGACGAGAAGAGGCGCTCTGCTTTTTAGAGTTTCCAGTTTTTCTGCTCTGTTTTTTCCCCATCTTTGTGGTTTTATCTACTTTTGGTCTTTGATAATGGTGATGTACAGATGGGTTTTTGGTGTGGATGTCCTTTCTGTTTGTTAGTTTTCCTTCTAACAGACAGGACCCTCAGCTGCAGGTCTGTTGGAATATCCTGCCGTGTGAGGTGTTGGTGTGCCCCTGCTGAGGGGTGCCTCCCAGTTAGGCTGCTCGGGGGTCAGGGGTCAGGGACCCACTTGAGGAGTCAGTCTGCCCGTTCTCAGATCTCCAGCTGCGAGCTGGGAGAACCACTGCTCTCTTCAAAGCTGTCAGACAGGGACATTTAAGTCTGCAGAAGTTACTGCTGTCTTTTTGTTTGTCTGTGCCCTGCCCCCAGAGGTGGAGCCTACAGAGGCAGGCAGGCCTCCTTGAGCTGTGGTGGGCTCCACCCAGTTCGAGCTTCCCGGCTGCTTTGTTTACCTAAGCAAGCCTGGGCAATGGCGGGTGCCCCTCCCCCAGCCTCGCTGCTGCCTTGCAGTTTGATCTCAGACTGCTGTGCTAGCAATCAGCGAGACTCTGTGGGCATAGGACCCTCCAAGCCAGGTGCGGGATATAATCTCGTGGTGCGCCGTTTTTTAAGCCCGTCGGAAAAGCACAGTATTCGGGTGGGAGTTTCCCGATTTTCCAGGTGTGTCCGTCACCCCTTTCTTTGACTCAGAAAGGGAACTCCCTGAACCCTTGCACTTCCCGAGTGAGGCAATGCCTCGCCCTGCTTCGGCTCGCACACGGTGCACGCACCCACTGACCTGCGCCCACTGTCTGGCACTCCCTAGTGAGATGAACCCGGTACCTCAGATGGAAATGCAGAAATCACCATCTTCTGCGTCGCTCACGCTGGGAGCTGTAGACCGGAGCTGTTCCTATTCGGCCATCTTGGCTCCTCCCTCTCTTAGATATATTCTAATAACAAAATTTTCTGGTATGAAAATCACTAGCATAAAAAGTAACTGAAAAATGTAATCAGTTATATGTTCATCATGTGGAAACATTAAACATGCTGGCCTCTTTTGGAGCCAAGATGGCCGAATAGGAACAGCTGCGGTCTACAGCTCCCAGCGTGAGCGACGCAGAAGATGGTGATTTCTGCATTTCCATCTGAGGTACCGGGTTCATCTCACTAGGGAGTGCCAGACAGTGGGCGCAGGCCAGTGGGTGCATGCACCATGTGCGAGCCGAAGCAGGGCAAGGCATTGCCTCACCTGCGAAGCGCAAGGGGTCAGGGAGTTCCCTTTCCAAGTCAAAGAAAGGGGTGACGGACGCACCTGGAAAATCGGGTCACTCCCACTCGACTATTGCACTTTTCAGACCGGCTTAAAAAACGGCGCACCATGAGACTATATCCCACACCTGGCTCGGAGGGTCCTACCCCCACGGAATCTCGCTGATTGCTAGCACAGCAGTCTGAGATCAAACTGCAAGGCGGCAGCTAGGCTCGGGGAGGGGCGCCCGCCATTGCCCATGCTTGCTTAGGTAAACAAAGCAGCCGGGAAGCTCAAACTGGGTGGAGCCCACCACAGCTCAAGGAGGCCTGCCTGCCTCTGTAGGCTCCACCTCTGGGGGCAGGGCACAGACAAACAAAAAGACAGCAGTAACCTCTGCAGACTTAAATGTCCCTGTCTGACATCTTTGAAGAGAGCAGTGGTTCTCCCAGCATGCAGCTGGAGATCTGAGAACGGGCAGACTGACTCCTCAAGTGGGTCCCTGACCCCTGACCCCCAAGCAGCCTAACTGGGAGGCACCCCGAGCAGGGGCACACTGACACCTCACACGGCAGGGTATTCCAACAGACCTGCAGCTGAGGGTCCTGTCTGTTAGAAGGAAAACTAACAAACAGAAAGGACATCCACACCGAAAACCCATCTGTACATCACCATCATCAAAGACCAAAAGTAGATAAAACCACAAAGATGGGGAAAAAACATAACAGAAAAACTGGAAACTCTAAAACGCAGAGCGCCTCTCCTCCTCCAAAGGAACGCAGTTCCTCACCAGCAACAGAACAAAGCTGGATGGAGAATGATTTTGACGAGCTGAGAGAGGAAGGCTTCAGACGATCAAATTACTCTGAGCTACGGGAGGACATTCAAACCAAAGGCAAAGAAGTTGAAAACTTTGAAAAAAATTTAGAAGAATGTATAACTAGAATAACCAATACAGAGAAGTGCTTAAAGGAGCTGATGCAGCTGAAAACCAAGGCTTGAGAACTATGTGAAGAATGCAGAAGCCTCAGGAGCTGATGCGATCAACTGGAAGAAAGGGTATCAGCAATGGAAGATGAAATGAATGAAATGAAGCGAGAAGGGAAGTTTAGAGAAAAAAGAATAAAAAGAAATGAGCAAAGCCTCCAAGAAATATGGGACTATGTGAAAAGACCAAATCTACGTCTGATTGGTGTACCTGAAAGTGATGGGGAGAATGGAACCAAGTTGGAAAACACTCTGCAGGATAGTATCCAGGAGAACTTCCCCAATCTAGCAAGGCAGGCCAACGTTCAGATTCAGGAAATACAGAGAACGCCACAAAGATACTCCTTGAGAAGAGCAACTCCAAGACACATAATTGTCAGATTCACCAAAGTTGAAATGAAGGAAAAAATGTTAAGGGCAGCCAGAGAGAAAGGTCGGGTTACCCTCAAAGGGAAGCCCATCAGACTAACAGCGGATCTCTCGGCAGAAACCCTACAAGCCAGAAGAGAGTGGGGGCCAATATTCAACATTCTTAAAGAAAAGAATTTTCAACCCAGAATTTCATATCCAGCCAAACTAAGCTTCATAAGTGAAGGAGAAATAAAATACTTTACAGACAAGCAAATGCTGAGAGATTTTGTCACACCAGGCCTGCCCTAAAAGAGCTCCTGAAGGAAGCGCTAAACATGGAAAGGAACAACCGGTACCAGCCGCTGCAAAATCATGCCAAAATGTAAAGACCATCGAGACTACGAAGAAACTGCATCAACTAACGAGCAAAATCACCAGCTAACATCATAATGACAGGATCAATTTCACACATAACACTATTAACTTTAAATGTAAATGGACTAAATTCTCCAATTAAAAGACACAGACTGGCAAGTTGGATAAAGAGTCAAGACCCATCAGTGTGCTGTATTCAGGAAACCCATCTCATGTGTAGAGACACACATAGGCTCAAAATGAAAAGATGGAGGAAGATCTACCAAGCAAATGGAAAACAAAAAAAGGCAGGGGTTGCAATCTTAGTCTCTGATAAAACAGACTTTAAAACAACAAAGATCAAAAGAGACAAAGAAGGCCATTACATAATGGTAAAGGGATCAATTCAACAAGAGGAGCTAACTATCCTAAATATATATGCACCCAATACAGCAGCACCCAGATTCATAAAGCAAGTCCTGAGTGACCTACAAAGAGACTTAGACTCCAACACATTAATAATGGGAGACTTTAACACCCCACTGTCAACATTAGACAGATCAACGAGACAGAAAGTCAACAAGGATACCCAGGAATTGAACTCAGCTCTGCACCAAGTGGACCTAATAGACATCTACAGAACTCTCCACCCCAAATCAACAGAATATACATTTTTTTCAGCACCACACCACACCTATTCCAAAATTAACCACATACTTGGAAGTAAAGCTCTCCTCAGCAAATGTAAAAGAACAGAAATTATAACAAACTATCTCTCAGACCACAGTGCAATCAAACTAGAACTCAGGATTAAGAATCTCCCTCAAAGCCGCTCAACTACATGGAAACTGAACAACCTGCTCCTGAATGACTACTGGATACATAACGAAATGAAGGCAGAAATAAAGATGTTCTTTGAAACCAATGAGAACAAAGACACAACATACCAGAATCTCTGGGACGCATTCAAAGCAGTGTGTAGAGGGAAATTTATAGCACTAAATGCCCACAAGAGAAAGCAGGAAAGATCCAAAATTGACACCCTAACATCACAATTAAAAGAACTAGAAAAGCAAGAGCAAACACATTCAAAAGCTAGCAGAAGGCAAGAAATAACTAAAATCAGAGCAGAACTGAAGGAAATAGAGACACAAAAAACCCTTCAAAAAATCAATGAATCCAGGAGCTGGTTTTTTGAAAGGATCAACAAAATTGATAGACTGCTAGCAAGACTAATAAAGAAAAAAAGAGAGAAGAATCAAATAGATGCAATAAAAAATGATAAAGGGGATATCACCACTGATCCCACAGAAATACAAACTACCATCAGGGAATACTACAAACACCTCTACGCAAATAAACTAGAAAATCTAGAAGAAATGGATACATTCCTCGACACATACACTCTCCCAAGACTAAACCAGGAAGAAGCTGAATCTCTGAATAGACAAATAACAGGAGCTGAAATTGTGGCAATAATCAATAGCTTTCCAACCAAAAAGAGTCCAGGACCAGATGGATTCACAGCCGAATTCTACCAGAGGTACAAGGAGGAACTGGTACCATTCCTTCTGAAACTATTCCAATCAATAGAAAAAGAGGGAATCCTCCCTAACTCATTTTATGAGGCCAGCATCATTCTGATACCAAAGCCTGGCAGAGACACAACCAAAAAAGAGAATTTTAGACCAATATCCTTGATGAACATTGATGCAAAAATCCTCAATAAAATACTGGCAAACGGAATCCAGCAGCACATCAAAAAGCTTATCCACCATGATCAAGTGGGCTTCATCCCTGGGATGCAAGGCTGGTTCAATATACGCAAATCAATAAATGTAATCCAGCATATAAACAGAGCCAAAGACAAAAACCACATGATTATCTCAATAGATGCAGAAAATGCCTTTGACAAAATTCAACAACCCTTCATGCTAAAAACTCTCAATAAATTAGGTATTTATGGGACGTATTTCAAAATAATAAGAGCTATCTATGACAAACCCACAGCCAATATCATACTGAATGGGCAAAAACTGGAAGCATTCCCTTTGAAAACTGGCACAAGACATGGATGCCCTCTCTCACCACTCCTATTCAACATAGTGTTGGAAGTTCTGGCCAGGGCAATCAGGCAGGAGAAGGAAATAAAGGGTATTCAATTAGGAAAAGAGGAAGTCAAATTGTCCCTGTTTGCAGACGACATGATTGTTTATCTAGAAAACCCCATTGTCTCAGCCCAAAATCTCCTTAAGCTAATAAGCAACTTCACCAAAGCCTCAGGATACAAAATGAATGTAGAAAAATCACCAGCATTCCTATACACCAACAACAGACAAACAGAGAGCCAAATCATCAGTGAACTCCCATTCACAATTGCTTCAAAGAGAAGAAAATACCTAGGAATCCAACTTACAAGGGATGTGAAGGACCTCTTCAAGGAGAACTACAAACCACTGCTCAAGGAAATAAAAGAGGATACAAACAAATGGAAGAACATTCCATGCTCATGGGTAGGAAGAATCAATATCGTGAAAATGGCCATACTGCCCAAGGTAATTTACAGATTCAGTGCCATCCCCATCAAGTTACCAATGCCTTTCTTCACAGAATTGGTAAAAACTACTTTAAAGTTCATATGGAACCAAAAAAGAGCCCTCATTGCCAAGTCAATCCTAAGCCAAAAGAACAAAGCTGGAGGCATCACACTACCTGACTTCAAACTATACTACAAGGCTACAGTAACCAAAACAGCATGGTACTGGTACCAAAACAGAGATATAGATCAATGGAACAGAACAGAGCCCTCAGAAATAACGCCGCATATCTACAACTATCTGATCTTTGACAAACCTGAGAAAAACAAGCAATGGGGAAAGGATTCCCTATTTAATAAATGGTGCTGGGAAAACTGGCTAGCCATATGTAGAAAGCTGAAACTGGATCCCTTCCTTACACCTTATACAAAAATCAATTCAAGATGGATTAAAGATTTAAACGTTAGACCTAAAACCATAAAAACCCTAGAAGAAAACCTAGGCATTACCATTCAGGACATAGGCGTGGGCAAGGACTTCATGTCCAAAACACCAAAAGCAATGGCAACCAAAGCCAAAATTGACAAATGGGATCTAATTAAACTAAAGAGCTTCTGCACAGCAAAAGAAACTACCATCAGAGTGAACAGGCAACCTACAAAATAGGAGAAAATTTTCACAACCTACTCATCTGACAAAGGGCTAATATCCCGAATCTACAATGAACTCCAACAAATTTACAAGAAAAAAACAAACAACCCCATCAAAAAGTGGGCGAGGGACATGAACAGACACTTCTCAAAAGAAGACATTTATGCAGACAAAAAACACATGAAAAAATGCTCATCATCACTGGCCATCAGAGAAATGCAAATCCAAACCACAATAAGATACCATCTCACACCAGTTAGAATGGCAATCATTAAAAAGTCAGGAAACAACAGGTGCTGGAGAGGATGTGGAGAAGTAGGAACACTTTTACACTGTTGGTGGGACTGTAAACTAGTTCAACCATTGTGGAAGTCAGTGTGGCGATTCCTCACGGATCTAGAACTAGAAATACCATTTGACCCAGCCATCCCATTACTGGGTATATACCCAAATGACTATAAATCATGCTGATATAAAGACACATGCACACGTATGTTTATTGTGGCATTATTCACAATAGCAAAGACTTGGAACCAACCCAAATGTCCAACAATGATAGACTGGATCAAGAAAATGTGGCACATATACACCATGGAATACTATGCAGCCATAAAAAATGATGAGTTCATGTCCTTTGTAGGGACATGGATGAAATTGGAAACCATCATTCTCAGTAAACTATCGCAAGAACAAAAAACCAAACACCACATATTCTCACTCATAGGTGGGAATTGAACAATGAGATCACATGGACACAGGAAGGGGAATATCACACTCTGGGGACTGTGGTGGGGAGGGGGGAGGGGGGTGGGATAGCATTGGGAGATATACCTAATGCTAGATGACGAGTTAGTGGGTGCAGCGCACCAGCATGGCACATGTATACATATGTAACTAACCTGCACAATGTGCACATGTACCCTAAAACTTAAAGTATAATTAAAAAATAATAATAATAATAATAAAAAAAACATGCTGGCCTCACAAATCCTTGACCTCTTGATTTTCCAATAAGTTCCAACTGTGTTTTTAAATATTGTTTCCGTCATCCTTTCCACTGGCCTCATCCATCACTTGATTTTATTTATTTTGCTATCTCAAAGGGGAAATACTCTTTTCTGACCACAGCCTCTTATCTTTCCATTTCTTCCTTTCATTACCAAACACTTGGGCCTTCCCTTTCCTCATTATAGTTTCCCAATGTCCAGTTTGAATCGGATGGTCATTTCTTTCTAGTTTAATTTCAATGGAACCTCAAATTGCTCTCCCTTCTTTCACCGAAACTGCAGCATAAAATATGTCAGGCTGAGATAACTTGTTGGCCAAGTTGTTTGGGTGGTGGCAGAATGAATGGCAATAATGCATTCTGTACACGATCCAAAGCTCTCACCAGGGGAGAAAGCATACAGTAGGGGAGATTTAAAAGCTACAGCTTGAAGTATGTATGTTCTGAAGACTTTGATAGGGAGGGGAAGAGAGAGACTACTTGGGATCCTATTCATTGGCTTGAATAAGGAATAAATAAAACCAGGAGGAACAGGCTGGGACACCATCAAGCAGACATGGACAAATATGGATCTGTAGCAGTAGATCACAATACCAGATAGTGACTTTATTGAAACCAAAATGCCTTGGCTCTTCAGTCTTCATTTCACAAATAAAAGAATTCCCAAGGGTGAAGTGGAGGATCTAATACACCACTCCATAGGTTGTTGATCTAGTATTTTGAGGAACATACTAGGATGCATTACAATACCTCACCTTAAATGTATAGAATGGAGTAGCATCTCTTGATGGGATCTTCTCCAGCTGATTGTCTCCAGCACCTCTGAGTCAGATCTGGTGAGATGTGCAGCTACTATAGAGTACATATGTGTACAGATGCACCACAGAGATTCAAACACGAGGGGAATGTCCTTGTTCACAATGAGGGATTACCAGATCCTCTTCCCCAGTTTATAGCCAGGAATGTTGCCTTCCACTGGATCTTCCACACACTTCTGTTTCCACAGATCAATTTGTTCTTAAACCAATCATGACAGTTTAGTTGTATTAAAGCTTCATCATTTAAGAGTATGTATACTAATAAAATGTGAATGTGGAAAGAAATAAAATTGTTTTTATGAGTAGTTAAATGCTTTGAAAAGATAGGTTGGTAAAAAATAATTCCTGATAAATTAGACATTTGTATTAGAGTTCTCCAGAGAAACAGAACTAATAGAATGTATTATAAAGAATTGTCTCATGCTGTTATGAAGAATAAGGCCCAAAATCTTCACTCAACAAGCCAGAGACCCAGGAGAGCTGATCTAGTTTGGATATTTGTCCCGGCCCAAATCTCATGTTGAAATGCAATCCCCAGTGTTGGAGGTGGGGCCTGGTGGGAGGTGTTTGGATCATGGGGGTGGATCCCTCATGGATGGCTTGGGCAATACTCTTGGTGATAAGTGAGCTCACGCTCTGAGTTCACATAAAATCTGGTCATTTAGAAGCGTGTATGTTTAACAGCTCCTCTCTTTCTCTTTCTCTCTCTCTCTCTCTCACTCTTGCTCTTGCTTTTACCAAGTGATGCGCTTATGCCCACTTCGCCTTCTGCTGGGATTGTAAACCTCCTGAGGCCTCCCCAGAAGCAGATGCTGCTATGCTTCCTGCACAGCCTGCAAAACTGTAAACCAATTAAACCTCTATTTTTATAAATTACCCAGTCTCAGGTATTTCTTTATAGTGATGCAAAAATGGATGGATACAAGATCCAATGGTGGCGTTTCACTCTGAAAGCCAGCAGGTTAAAGGTCCAAGGTAATCCAGTGTTTCAGCCTGAGTCAAAAGTCCAGAAAAGATCAATGCCCCAGCACAGTCAGGCAGACTGAGTTCCCTCTTACTCAGCCTTTTTGTTCTATTCAGATCTCTATCTGGGAGATTGAATCAGGCCCCCTTACATTACTGGGTTTGTGGGGAGTGCTGGGGAGGTGGGGCAATCTGCTTTACTCAGTCTATAATTCAAATGTGAATCTTATCTGGAAACACCCACCCAGACAAACCCAGAATAATATTTAGCTAAATGTCTGAACACCCTATTGTCCAGTCAAACTGCCACATAAAATTAACCTATTGCTGAAGCATTTCTTTTAAAAAATTTTAATAATCCCTAACTCAGATTCAATGCATGAAAATTATAGATGATGTATTATTATATGTGCAATTTATGGGAAAGAGAGGATAAAAGATCTTTTGAATATGGTTAGATTTACATCCATCTAAAAACATGTCTGTGTTCTGCATTCAAAATAGTGGAGAAGTTTTAAGGTAAAATAAAATGATGTTTGCATACTTCAATTTTTTAATGATTCCACACTTTAATAGATTTTTTTCAATTAATCCACTAAATAGTTGTCTCAGATAATATAAGTTAACAGTGATTCTAGTGTATAAAACCATAAAATTGGCAAGTACAGTCAAGGAAATGAGATACATGAAAGTCAGAACTACTTATGAAGACAGCTTAATTTTGCCTCAAGGCATCTTTTTTCCCTGTGCATTCTATATAGTGCCAATTCTTGCTATTTGGTGTTTTAAAGGTCACTCAGAACCTGGAACTATCCATCGTAGCCATTCCAGCCTTTAGTAATGTCAATCATCATATCACTCCTCTCTTACTATTGACTGCTGAACATGTTAGAAAAAGTCATGCAGTGATGGCAGCTGGAATGACAGCCAATCCATGTTATCTAACATCAGCTGCCCATCAAGACTCCTGGGCAATCATTTATCTGCAGTTGACTCTCACTTCATGCAATTTGTGTTATAAATGTTTCCTGTGTTTCCAACTCCTACAAAACCCTCAAATCCATGTGTATCTTCTTCACTTTCAGCCAATAGGAATCTCGCCTCCTATATACTTGAGAAAGTAAAGGCCATATGATATGAATTGTCTCCATTTGACCACAACATATCTGCGATAACCCTCTTGCTTTCCTCTTACCTCAGAGTTTTCTCCTCTCTCTCTCGGAGATGTCATTCATTTACACAATGCGACAACACATAGATCTCACTTCTGCATCTTCCCCTACATTGTCATTCAACTAACTACTGAATGTCCTCAACTAGATTTCCTGCAAATGCTTTAAACATAGTACCTTTAAATTCTTTAGGATTTCCTTCAATCCTATAAAATTTTGTGGATCTATAAAATTATCTGGATAGTTGTCTTTATTCTCCAATTCATTTATTCAGGTCAAGATAGGTGAATGATTGATTTTTTTTCTCTCTCTAGCACTAAAATTCCATAATCTTTTTACTATGTCAAGTTTAACACCCTATCAAATTCTTCCTCCAGGATTTAATCCCATAATGCATTCACTTTGGCCATCTTAATCATGAGCTTATTCCTGTAGTAAAATGAACTTGCATTTTCCTGCTTCGTCAAATGATAAGCTAATGAAAGATCCTTGCCAACAGAGTTTTTAAATGATAACTGGAAGTTGCCAAAATACTCCCCTGACAGAGTCTCCCTTCATTCGGACAGAATCTAAGTTCAACCAGCAGGGGCTCCCTGAAGGCCAGACCTGCCAGCTGGCACCAAGGGCTTCCAGGTGGTCATCTCAGCTAATTGACAACGCCACTGGAGAGATTGCCAACTACACTGACTCATAGAAAGGAAGTTTACCTTTCTTTCAGGAATGGAAAGACAAAATGCCAAATGCAGCAGGTTGCATATCTTTGCTCATAAAATGTATAATTTGTCAGAATCATTTTTCTTTAAATGCTTTAATGGAAATCCTTGGCAGGTGCATACACTAATGATTCCCATATTAATTCAGTCCTCAGTCGTTCCATTTTATCCCTAAACTCTTTGCACCTCTTAGGTAGTGCTATTATTTTTTTGATTATGAATCACATGACGAGGCCATTTTTCCAAAGAAAAGGATATCTCTGTTACATTTGAAAGTGCTCTGTGACTCTTCTTAGATGGCCTGTGCTGAAATTAGTAATAACAGGTGGGATTGACTGTGGAACCATATATAATGTCTTCGTGCAATGTTAAATTTTACAGCCCCAGAATAATTGTAGAGAAACATTACAAAGCAAAGAGAAAGTAGAGTTTTCAAAGCTGAGAAATCTCTTTTGTCAAATTTATCTTATTAAGAGTGGTTTTCCGATTTGAAAGATATTAGAATATCATTTATTTTACTGCCAACTTTGATTCTCATTAGATATTCAAAAATTTTCCTCAAATAAAATGTTGAAGTTTAACCTAACCCCCTAATGACAGGGTTAATTTGGCTGCCAAATTTATACAAGAATAGAGAAGAAAAAGATATGTGCTTCAAGAGGGAAAAAAATCACATTCCATTATAATAATGCAGACAAGGAGTGTAGGTTTTGGGTTCTGAAGTCTATGTGAACTCCAGGAGTGGTCATATTAAAATTCATGTCACATCGCAAGTTTGTTTCTACTGAAAACTGCTCTGCTTAATCTGATATCCTATCAGTCAGATTTTAAGCACTTCTCTCACCTTTAAGAATGTGATAAAAATGTCCTACTGAGCCATCAAACTGCTTTCATTTTGTTTAATCCCTCAAAATGCTGTTGCTAAGGGAGAAGGGAGCCTAGGTGAAGCCATTCTGTTCATGCAGGTGCTGGCCGCCCAACACCACCCCTATGCCAGATGTGCAAAGCCCTTCATATTTTCCTTGCCAAAGGTAGGCTATTCAAATTTCATAGGCTTAGCAGTTTTACTTCTCCTTTTCTCTCCTCACCCTCAAGATATTCTCAGAGGGGTTTTATTCAACACCATACCGTGCTGAAGTTGTATGGGTGATACAGTAATTGCATGTAAGATACAGTTAAGGCCTAATGAACATTATATTTATGAAGAATGTAGCTCTGATTTCTAAAAGCACTTTGGTAAATTATACAAATTAAATATTCATTACCTTGTACTTCATTAGTTCACACTTGGAACACTTTTTCTTCATTATGGTAGCCTGGAGTAAAAGCTTTTTTTCTTCTAACACATTTTATCCTGCTATTTTTCAAAAACCCTTTTTTTACAGTATTTGGGGGAAACTGTATTTTTTCTATGGGGGCCATAATATTTATCATTTTCTTTTTTTAAAAAAAACTGCATCTTTATCTCACACAAAGAAAGCAAATATCTGTTTCAAGTTCTTATTTCAATAGTCAGCATAAAAATGTGCAAACTTTTACCTCTGGCTTTCACTCATCGCTTACTTCCTGCTCTTATTCCTATAAAAGAAAGTTATTTCATTAGGGAGAAACCTTGGCACTAAGCTAGAGGTACTGCAGAGTTATAAAGATGTGTATTTTCCATACTGGAATAACCTTACAGTGATTTATTAGTCATCACGCTCTGAGAAGTTAAAAATCCTTTAAGTGGTAAGGTTGTTTGTCTGAGGTAGGTGATTAATAGACAGCCTTCCTCAGCACGTGCAAATTAAAATAGAAGAAGGAATTATGATTGGAGCTCTCCTTTTCCACTTCTAAACACGCTAGTCAGCTAGGATGTATTCTTTCTTTGATGTATTCAGCAAATGTGTGTGTGAAATACTGAAAATGAGTCACCCTCCTAGGAGTTTATCAATTGAATGTCTGTTGCAGGTGGTCATACAGTCTCAAACAACTGAAAACAGGTGACTTAAAAATGTACTTGTAGACAAAATAAATGTCTCCAACTTTAAAGCTCTTCAGATTTTGTTCTCTTAAGATGTACATAAATGGCAATTAATGATGGGTTTTTACTAAAGGATGTCAGGGAGAGACCTGAATTGTAAAAGCATTTTAAAATCAGGTTTGAAAAGATAAAATGGTCTCCTTGAATTTTAAAGAGCACTTGACTAGAAAACAGGAGACTTGAATTTGAGTTCTGGATGCATCATGTAGTCTTACAATCTTCATAAAAATCCCTTACTCTTTTTAAGCATCAGTGATCTAATCTGGTAAATGGGAATAAGAATACTCACTTTGCCCATTCCTCTGATTTGTAGTGAAGATTATAAAAAGTTTTTAAAAACCAAATGTGAAAGCTTTTACAAAGTAAAATAGGTTAATGATATTAAAAATTAAAATCATGTGCTCCATAATTTCCATACACTAAAATATCAATCAAGACCTGAAACCGTAAAATTTGTAAAAGATAACATTGGAAAAACTCTTCTAGACATTGGCTTAGGCAAAGAGTTTATGACCAAGAACCCAAAAGCAAATGCAACAAAAACAAAAAATAAATAGATGGAAACTAATTACACTAAAAAGCTTCTGCACAGCAAAAGAAATAATCAGCAGAGTAAAAAGCCCACAGAGTGGGAAAAAGTATTTATAAACTATGCATCCAACAAAGGACTAATATCCAGAATCTACAAGAAACTCAAACAAATCAGCAAGAGAAAAACAAATAATCCCATCAAACAATGGGCAAAGGACATGAATAGACAATTCTCAAAAGAAGATATACAAATGGCCAACAAACATATGAAAAATGCCCAATATCACTAATTATCAGGGAAATGTAAATTAAAACCACAGTGAGATACCATCTTACTACTGCAAGAATGGCCATAATTTTAAAAATCAAAAAATAACAGATATTGGCATGGATGTGGTGGAGAGGGAACACTTTTACACTGCTGGTGGGAATGTAAACTAGTACAACCACTAGGGAGAGTCCTTAAAGAACTAAAAGTAGAACCATCATTTAATCCAGCAATCCTGCTACTGGGTATCTACCCAAAGGAAAAGAAGTCATTCTATGAAAAGCACACTTGTACACACATATTTATAGCAGCATAATTCACAATTGCAAAAATATGGAGCCAGCCCATCAACCAATGAATGGATAAAGAAAATTTGGTGTATATATACGATGGCATACTACTCAGCCATAAAAAGGAACAAAATAATGGCATTTGCACAACCTGGGTGGAGTTAGAGACCATTATTCTAAGTGAAGTAACTCAGGAATGGAAAACCAAATATTGTATGTTCTCACTTATAAGTGGCAGCTGAGCTATGAGGATGCAAAGGCATAAGAATGATACAACTGACTTTGGGGCTTCAGGGGGAAGGGGAAAGGGTGAAAGGTGGGTAAGGGATAAAAAACTACATATTGGATACAGTGTACACTGCTCTAGTGACAGATACACCAAAATCTCAGAATTCACCACTGAAGAGCTTATCCACATAATAAAAAACCACTTGTTCCCCAAAAACTATTGAAATAAAATAAAACTAAAATTAAAAATAAATATTTTTATACTATAACAGTATAGTAAAAAATAAAATAAAATATGGTCTCCATTTTAAAGCATGCAAAGTGAAGAAAGAATAGCAGTCCAGGCAATCATCTTTCTTGAGTGGTAACATGTATTCTATCAGCATGCTTTGGCAGGCTGGTCATTGTATCACTTGGGTGAGAGCTTATCCATGATTCTTTTTGCTTCTAGTGCCTATTCTAACTAACTTCTCTTCCATAGGTAACTTAAAGGAAATAATACAGTTATAGGAATAAGCTTTCAGCAGGAACTTGAAAGAAATGACAATAAGTGGCTTTGTAGGTATTAAATCTACTTATGTCAAAACTGAAAGAGTCCAGAGAATATAAGGGAGACATGAGGAAAGGAGGAACGTGGTGACACAAGTAGCTTAGAGAGCAAAGTAGAAAATAGAACAGAGACTATGAAAAAGGTGTTGGCAAATTGTTTTGTTTGCATGTTATGTTGGAAAAGAAGCTCTTGAAAGCAACCAAGAAAAAAGGTAAAAGTAAAAAATCTGCTTCAGAAAACTGTGTAAAGATTTGACTGGGGTAGCAGTATTTTGTATGTATCAAAAAAAAAAAGTGAGTAAAAGAAAGTCCTAGAAGCCAGAAAAACAATCTGCAAATTGACTCTGACATTCTGAGAATAGGAAAAACAAAAACCCAAAGTATTATTTTTCCTAACCTCTACTCTCTATTCAACACTGAATGTTTCTGTGTCCCTACATGTGTGGAGGGTTTTCCTCATACGCTAACCAAGCAATTCTGCAGTGGACACCAGCTGGGTGTCCTCTCATTCAATTCATTCTGACACCATCTACCTGGAAACAGTGTAAGGTCCCATAGGTTGAGGGCTTGGTCCCACAAGATTGCCCCCCACTCCAGATGCCTATTGCAAGCCCCAGGTTGACCAACCAGCTGAAAATAGAGGTTCCCCTAGTGCCTTCCTTGGGTTCAATGTATTTGCAAGAGTGTTTCCCATTACTCAGAGAACCACTTTACTCACATTGAGCCACTTATCATAAAGAATATTACAGGCCAGGTGCTGTGGCTCATGTCTGTAATCCCAGCACTTTGGGAGACCAAGGCAGGCTGATCACCTGAGGTCAAGAGTTCAAGATCAGCCTGACCAACATGGTGAAACCCAGTCTCTACTAAAAATACAGAAAAATTAGCTGGGCAAGGTGCCGAATGCCTGTAATCTCAGCTACTTGGGAGGCTGAAGCAGAAGAATCACTCGAACCCAGGAGGTGGATGTTGCAGTGAGCCGAGATCGCGTCACTGCACTCCAGCCTGGGCAGCAGAGTGAGACTCTGCCTCAAAAATAAATAAGTAAATAAATAAATAATTTTTTAAAAAAAGAATATTACAAAAAATAAAGCTAAACAGCCAGATGGAAAAGACGTTTCGAGCTAGGCATGTGGGAAGGGCTGTAAAGCTTCCATGCCACCCTCCAGGAACCACCATGTTCAGCTATCTGAAGTTTTTCAAACCCAGTCCCTTTGGCATAATTGATTAAATTATTGGCCATTGGTGATCAACTTAACTTTCAACCTCTCTTCCCCCTAGAAGTTGTAGGGGTGGGGCTGAAAATCATCACCCTCTAATCATGCCTTGGTCTTTCCTGCTACCAGCCTCCACCCTGAAGCAATCTAGGAACCCCCAGCCACAGGTCATCTTATTAGCATCCTCCAGCGATTCCAAGGATTTTAGGAGCCATATGCCAGAAGGAAATTGGGACATGTACCAAATATATATTTCACAATATCACTGACATGTTAAAAAGAAATATCTACATTTGTCAGCCAGATTCATTTGTGGAGAGAATGGTAATTGCAAGGAATCAAAGATAATGGGAAAATTGCAAGTTAAATTAATGGGATGTATAAGGGGTTTCCTACAGGATAAGAATGACAGATTAGAATAAATATTAGGACAAACTCAAAGTTAAGCAAAAATGCCTCTTCCTGTTCCCTATTGATCTGTGTTCATTCCTGACATTAAAACTTGTTTAAAATTCACTTTATTCAATAAGCCTCTTCAGAAAAATCAGAGAATCATGACAGCTAGATATTTCAGATAATTCATCCAGCCATTCACACCTTGAATCAGTTCAACAGCATCCCAGCCAACTGGGTGCCTGGCTTATGTGTAAAACACCTCCAGAGATATTCACTGTGTCCTGAAGCAACATATGCCACATTTGGTGAATTTCATACATCAGAAAAGCCTTCTTTATATGAAGCTGAAATGGATCTTCTATAGCTTCTTCCCACTGAGCCTATTCTACCCTCTTAGGGTATCAAGGCTGATGCACACCTGTTCTGCTCAGTTCTGTATGCCTTACTTTCTCATACTACTGTATTAAACAAATTTTGACACTAACATTATATACTGTGCTATTATAAATTCATCTCCCCTTTCATCCTCACAGTGGTAACAGAGTCCCCCCTCCACCAAGCCCCATGTATTGACATTACCACAGGCCCAAGGTTCTGTGACAAACACACCCATTCCCAATTTTCCAAGAAGAAGGGGACTTCCACTTGATGAACCCTGTGATGTGCCAGAGATTTGAGATAGATTCCATTATTCCATTCTCTTATCAACCCTACAAAACAAGTTGCTATTGACCTCTTCAAAGAGATAGTTTTATTCTTTTATACTTAAGACTGACCATCTACATTATTACTTTCCCAGGTACTGATTTTCTATGTATACTCTTACATTCTCTAATATATATTAATATATATAACATTTATTATATGTAATACAATATATGTGTTTGTATTTTTATTATTTTTTATATTTGCTCTTCTAGAAGTGTTTTCCAATGCTTTCTTGAATGAGGCAAGATATAAATAAAATAAATGGTATTTTAAATTGACATTTCACAGCTGGACTGCCGAAGCTCAAAGAGGGTGAGTAACTTGACCAAGAGATGTTCAGAGTCTGGAAAATGGATTCTCGGTAACTGAACTCTCGAGAATCTGATTTATGAACCCAAAGTCTCATTTACTTCTTTTAATGGAAGATCGATGTGGAAGAATAACTGATGCCCGTCATTGCACAAAGTGCTCAAAATCAAGTCACAAATCAAACTGCATAGGAGAAGATTGCTTAGTTAAAAGCTCTGAAAAAAAAGAGTCTTTGATGCCAAAATGAAATTTGCATAAATACAAAATAATGGACTGTTAATCTTCTTTGTCTAGGGATGTTTTAAGCTTAGGAGTTCTTCAAAATAATCATTAAAATTATAGCACCAGGTCTTTTAGACATTTTTAAAGCTAGTCCAGATTTTATTTTCCAGATTTCTTATCTCAATGTTACTGATTAGCTACTTACATTTTCAGGACAGTGCTTACTATATAATTTCAAAACTTACTTTTAATTGATTATACCTTAAATATGGTTTTTTTTTTGTTTAAGGACAAAATTTTGCTAATTAAAAATACCAGAAAGATATTATCACATCTATTTAGGTAGAACCTTATTGGTTACCATTTCAAGGGATGATAGTTTATGATTTCATTCCTGAATACTATAGCTATGCTTTGTCTTTCACAGGTACACCCTGTGAAAGTGGTGGGGTATTTCCCTTGAAGAAAATGGTTGTTCACTGTGTGATGGGAAAAGTTCTGGGACCAGGAAAAATGGGACCCTGGTGTCCAAAGAGGAGGACTTGCTCACAGAGACCAAGCCCAGGGGAGTTAAGTAGGCTGCTATAACAAGGGCACAGTCCTGGGACCAAGAAGGAGCTGATCAGTGGAGCCCATTAAAATGAGAAGGGCCAGGGGCTTCCAGTTTCCCATCCCGCATGGAAGGAGCTCAGAAGTTGCCACTCTGTCTTCACAAGTAACAAGCTGAACAAACTGAAAAATCAACTCTTCTAAGGTCTTTCAGAGATGCGAAGTCACAGGGAAAACCTCTGCCCCCAAAATTGGAAGGAAAGGCAGATACAGGAAATCACAACTTACCAGAGCAGAAAACCATGAGTGGATACCTCTGTGGACACCATTGCTGGGATAGGCAAACCTAAGATGAAATTCACAAATTGCTGGAGGCTCAGTGTGAACAAGCCTGGAAGTTAAAAATAAGGGTTGGGAGAGGGACAGTTCTGATTGGTGGGCTGGGGGTTGCGGGGAGGACCGGACAGACTAGGTCCTTTTTTGAGTTTACCCTACAGCATCTCTATCAGCCCATGGTGAGCTTCATAGTCCAGGGCACAAGCTCACCAAGAGGCTGAGACCTTGGACTTCGGAGACTCAGAGGGGTGAAGATGGGCGGGAGACGGGATAAAAAACTATATATTGTGTACAATATGAACTATTTGGGTGATGGGTACACTAAAATCTCAGACTTCATGAGTATATAATTCATCCATGTAACCAAAAACCACTTGTACCCAAAAGGCTATTGAAATTTTAAAAAATAAACTTTTAAAAAAAACTACGACCTAATCAGAGGACTATACAATGCTTCCCTTCTCCCCACCCCTTACCACGGCACCACTAAAGGCCTATTTGCTGCAGTTCTTTTTACTTAGTACATTATGTCCTTCTTTCAGCAAGAAATTACAAGGCAAAAAAAAAACCCTAGTTTGAAGAAATTGACCAAGTATGAGAATCAGAGTCAGATATAGCAGGAATGTTGGCGTTATCAGACCAAAAATTTTAAAAACTATAACTAATATGCTAAGGGCTCCTAGGGAAGTATGCAAGAACAGATGGGTAAACATAAGCAGAAAGGTGAAAATTCTACAAAAGAATAAAAAAGAAATGCTAAAGATCAAAAACACTATAACAGAAATGAAGAACACCTTTGATGGGCTCATTGAGTAGATTAAACACAGCTGAGGAAAGCATCTCAGAAATTGAGGATATGACAATAGAAACTTCCAACACTGAAAAAGCAAAAGTTAAAACACAAAACAGAATATCTGAGAATTGTGGGGCCACTACAGATGTGTGGCATATATATATGTAGCATATATATATAGGATATACTGGAAGGGAAATAAGGGAAGAAACAGAGAAAAATTTCAAGCAATAATGACTGACTTACCCCAGATTAATGTCAGGCACAGATCCAGGAAGCTCAGGGAGCACCAAACAGAATGCCAAAAAAAAAAAAAACTACACCCAGGTATATTAGATTGAAACCTCAGAAGATCAAAGTTTTTTGAAAATCTTAATAGTAGAAGAGCCGGGGTTGATAGGCTCTAGGAGCACCAATTTCTCTCAAAACTCTTAAGTTTTCATTTTCTGTTGTGTAACTCTATAATGGAACTTCTTAGTGATATATTTGGTTGATTTAAGGGAGAGTTCCTTAAGAAGAAAGAAAGAGATAATGAAAACTGTATAAGCAACTAACAATATCTGTCTCAGAAACTGAACCACAGAAACAACTGGATAAAACAACAAACTAGTGTTTCTCCTGGTGGTTTCTATAAATATTGTTTTGAATTTCAAGTTTTGACAGTCCCCAGTGAATTTTTCAAATTATGATCATAATAAGCCAAGCTCCCAAATGGATACGTTATCAGCTATGTAAAATCAGAAACATAATTTCAGAAAGAAATTTCAGAAAGAGAGATAAGTATGGCAATTTGTTACGCTTACATTGATAAAACAATGCAACTAATAGAAAATATACTTCTCTTTCTGTTTCATAATTGTGCAAATGAATAATAAATGAGCATAAAATGGTCCTTATAGCCATTTTAAATTTATTATAAAACTGTTACGTGTTTTGAGATTTTTTTAAACTAAGGCATGTTTTATATTTAAGATCAGGTTTTTTAGACTCTCAAAAATCAATGAAAATTTCACATTTCTAAAATATGATTCACTAAAACTGATTTGAAATTTAAAAAAAATCTTCAACCATTAGACTTCAGAAACATAATAAATTATATTGGCTTATATATCCTCTTTAACTTATAGGAATTGGAAACTTTAAATTTTAAGTCAATTCAGTTACATCAGAAAGCTAATCAGTGCTTTCAACTCTTTCTTTCTTAGTCCTGTCAAAAAAACATATGTTATTGAAAGTATTAAGGTCCTGGAGGTAAAATTATAAAATGAATACAGATTTCTCAACTATGAACTCAAATGTGCAAATAATGTCAGTTTGTTTTCTATAATTATGCTTATTTTTATCTTGAACTTCTGATATGGTTTGGCTCTGTGTCCCCACCCAAATCTCATGTTTAATTGTAATTCTCACATGTTGAAGGAGGGACCTGGTAGGAGGTAATTGGATTATAGGGGTGGATTTCCCCCCACAGTGTTCTTGTGATAGTGAGTGAGTTGTTTTGAGATCTGCTGGTTTAAAAGTATGGCACGTCTCCCCTCGCTCACTCTCTTTCTCTCCTGCTCCAACATGTGAAGACTGTGCCTGCTTCCCCTTTGCCTTCCACCACAACTGTAAGTTTCCTAAGGCCTCCCAGCCATGTGGAACTGTGAGTCAATTAAACCTCTTTTCTTCATAAATTATCCAGTCTCAGATAGTTCTTTATAGCAGTGAGAGAATGAACTAACACAACCTCCATTCTACCTGATGGCAGCAGCTTACTCTTTGTAAATTCAGAGCAAAAAATAATAATAATAATTCAGGGTTTTCTGTCAATTGACACTTTTTCTGAGTAAACTTATACTTCCCTTCCAGTCCCTGTGGTTGTGTACAAGTTTGGGGAAATTTACACAATGGCCCTTACATACTCATGTCAGCTCCTCCAACTGTCCTTGTGTCTGGTTAGTCTCCAGATATTGGAATCTGGAGTATATCTCATTCTTCATCCAGCCTCCATTCACAGATTGCAGGCGGATTTGCTGCTGCCTTATTCTAACAAATGCAGTGCTACTTCTGGTCTGCAAGGGTCTTCTCTGCTACTGCTGTGTCCCTCTTTGGAGCACAGAAAATATTCAGATGCTTTCCAAAACCCCCTCTGGGCCCAAGGAAAAACAATGAGCTATCTCCATCCTTCTCTGACCATTCATATGGAGGTTAACCCCTATGACCTAGGTTAGGGCTCTTAGTTGTCTCTAAGAGGTCTGGATAATTGACCCTTGATCTTACCCAACTGAGTGGGGTTCAGGAGTGTGCTCACAGCAGGCTGCAACTGGGTGGGGAGGCTGAGTCCTCAGGATCCTCTGTACTGTTCTCCAGTAACCATAATGTGCTAATGAGAGCACACCTGGGAGATTCTGGTGGCACAGGTCCAGATGAATGGTTAATGTCTTACACCTAAGAAAAAAATGAAGCCCTTCTTACATATTCACTAGCATCTAAGCTTCCTCTTGCTCAGGACTTGTTCCATAGTCACCCTCTGTGGAATCTTTATCTTCTTGAGGGTAGGGGGAGAAACCGCTCTGAAAACATCATGCACTTCTCTCACATAGATGTTTTTGGAAAAATCTCTTGGCCATAAATCCTCCAGGGCCATGGATTTTGAGACCAAAAAGGAAAGGCATTCAGACTCAAAATGTTGTCTCTCAAACTTTGGTCTCTGCCATGAATTTCAAAATTCACTAGATGATTCAAGGAGTTATTGGATTTTTAAAAATACTCTGAAATTCAAAAGACTACAATTTATATAATTTTTCATATTTTGACTTTTAAACATTTCAATCCAGCCAATTTCATTATGAAATAAACTCTTAGCTTAATAACCAGCAATTGTCTAGATAATTTCCTCTTAATTGTCGGTAACTTCAGTTTATATTTGACATTGTGCTTACTTGATTAGGGAAAGTACACTCTCTTTGAAAAAATGTTTAAGTCAATCTCCTAACTCCTTTTAGCATAAGCTCTTTGCCAGTATTTAGAATAAATCTTTCCAAACCAATGGAGTTTTAACAATAGAAATCAGTTTCATAATACAGCTTGAAAAATACTCCATTGAATCTAATTTTTAGACAATATTCTTGTAATTTTCAGGTTCTCACATAATTAAACTTGTACTCTCACTCCCACTAGTGTATTATTTCTAGTATTTTTGGATTACCTATGCTCTTACTCCTTTAAAGGATTTGTTTCATTTTATTTCAGACTAACTAACCTATATACAGAAGGACCAAGCCCTGCTTTTCCTATTTAATAAGACTAGGAGTTAGGATTCCTGTACTACAATATAAAAATGACTTTCCCAGTCACTTTATGAGACGTTAATCTCAAAGTACTCTTAACACAAATACACTCTTCCTGCAAAAGAAAAAACATGCCATGCTTATATATGTCATCAAAGAGATTACATGACCATGAACTGTAAATAGTTTGTAGGTGAAAATCACTGCTGATGAGGAAAAAAAATGGTAACTTTAGTAAGTAATTCAGCAGCATCTAGGAAAATAGAAAATGTATTTACCCTAAGACTCAGCAAACCCATATCTAGGTAAATATCTCAGAGACTTAAATATGCACACAGTAGATAGACCCTTTTAAGTATGGCATTGCAGCATTATGCCAGTAGTGAAAATGTGATTCATTCTCAATGACTTTCAATAGAGGAATAAGTAAATACAATATCAATATCATAAAGCAGCTAAAATGAACTTTATCAACATTAGTAGATCTCAAAAACACAATGTTGTATGGAAAAAGCAAGCTGTAGTTTCAGATTAACATATACAGCATGATGCATATTATATGTATTTTAAAAGCCATAATATTCAAAACAGTGTGGTATTAGCATAAAGACAGATGTATAGACCAGAGAAATAGAAGAGAGAGCCCAGAAAACCCCCACATATATTTTTATAAAGGTGATTTTTTATAAAGGTGCCAAGAGCATTCAGCGGGGAAATGGACCATCTCTTCAACAAATGGTGCTGAGTAAACTGGATATCCACATATGGAAGATTAAAGTTGGACCCTTATCTATCACCATACATGAAAATTAATTCAAAAGGGATCAAAGACCTGGAACTATAAAACTCATAGAAGAAAATACAGGAAAAACGTCTCATGATATTGGATTTGGCAATGATTTTTTGGATATGAAAACAAAGTCACAGGCAACAACAAAAAATGGACACATTGGACTTAATGAATATCTTAATAATCTGTGCATCCAAAGACACTATCAACGGGCAACCCACAGAATGGAAGAAAATATTTGCAAACTATGTGTATGATAAGACAGGGGACCCCCAACTCCTGGTACTGGTCCGTAGCCTGTTAGGAAATGGGCCACAAAGCAGGAGGTCAGCATGGGCCAGTGAGTGAAGCTGAGCTCCACCTTCTGTCAGATCAGAGGCAGCATTAGATTCTCACAGAAGCATGAACCATATTGACCCCACGAGGGATCAAAGTTGCATGCTCCTTATGAGAATCTAATGCCTGACGATCTGTCACTGTCTCGCATCACCCACAGATAGGACCATCTAGTTGCAGGAAAACAAGCTCAGGGCTCCCAGTGATTCTACATTATGGTGAGTTGTATAACTATTTCATTATATATTGCAATGTAATAATAATAGAAATAAAGTGCACAATAAATGTAATACACCTGAATCATTTTGAAATCATTCCCCTTCCCCATCCATGAAAAAATTGTCTTCCACAAAATTGGTCCCTCATATCAAAAAGGTTGGTGACCATTGTAATAAAGGATTAACATCTGGAATATATCCTAAAGCTCAACAACATGAAAATAATCCAATTGAAAACTGGGCAAAGGACTTAAATAGATATTTCTCTAAAGAAGATATACAAATATCCAATAAGCACATAAAAATATCCTTAACATCACTAGTAATTAGGGAAATGCAAATCAAAAGTACAATGAGATATTACCTCACACCCATTAGTATGACTACTATTAAAAAAAAAATAGAAAATAAGTGTTGGTTGGCCGGGCACAGTGACTCACATCTGTAATCCCAGCATTTTGGAAGGCCAAAGCAAGTGGATCACCTGAGGTCAGGAGTTCGAGACCAGCCTGGCCAACATGGTGAAACCCTGTCTCTACTAAAAATACAAAAATTAGCCAAGCATGGTGGCACACACCTCTAGTCCCAGCTTCTTGGGAGGCTGAGGCAGGAGAATTGCTTGAACTCAGAAGGTGGAGGTTGCCATGAGCCAAGATCGCACCACTGCACTGCACTCCAGCCTGGGCAACAGAGCAAGATTCCATCTCCAAAAAAAAAAAAAAAAAGTGTTGGTGAGGGCAATGATGTGGAGACATTGTAGAATGTAAAATGGTTCATTACAGCCACTGTGAAAAACAGTATGGTAGTCCCTCTAAAAATTATAAATAGAGTTACCATATTATACAACAATTCCACTTCTGGATATATATCCAAAAGAATTGAAAGATGGGTCTCTAAGAGATAATTTGTACACCCATGTTCACAGCAGCATCATTCACAGTAGCTAAAATGTGGAAGCAATCTACTTTCCATCAGCATATGAATGGATAAGCAATATATGGCATATGCATACAATAGAATATTATTTAGCCTTAAAAGGGGAGAAAATGCTGACATATGCTACAACATGGATGAAACTTGAGGACATTATGCTAAGTGAAATAAGCCAATCACAAAAGGATAAATACTGTATGATTCCACATATATGAAGTATTTAGTGTAGTCAAAATCACATAGACAGAAATAGTGGAAGTTGTTGCTAAGGGATGGGACAAGGGGAAAATGGGGAGTTATTATTTAATGGGTACAGAGTTTCAGTTTTATAAGATAAAAAGAGTTTTGGAGATGGATGGTGGTGATGACTGCACAACATGATGAATGTATTTAATGCCACTCATCTGTATGTTAAAAACAGTTAAGGTGGTACGTTTTATGTGTATTTTACCACAATGAAAAAAAAATGGGAAAAAGCATACAGAAAGAACATATTATTCATGTGTATAGATATATATAGGCATGAATAATAAAAATGAATACTTAACAAATTCCTTCTCTAAACTGTAAAATATTCTTGGTTAATAATATTTTTATTGATGTATTTCAAGCACCTAGAACTCTGCCTGGCATATAGTAGGGACTCACTAAATATTTGGTGAAAAATGCATTTGTGACAGTGACTGGCTGGGATAGGGTCTGGGAGGAAAATAAAGCTAGAAATGAGGAAGAAGAGCAACAACTTTATTTGTAATGTGATATTCCTCTGGTTTAGAGAAAGAAGGAGAAAGAGACTTAAAGCAAAAAGGAAAAAAAGTTACTTTTCAGTTGTTAATTTGTATATGAATGTCTTTTATAACCGTCTCTATACTTTCCTGCATTGTTTAACTTTAAAAACAAAGCAGGTCTCACAAACTGTAGCTCACATTTTTAGAAAGCATACACCTTAAAAATTAATAAGAAATTTTAAAGGAAATTTAGTGAGAATACTCTCATCCTTAATTCCAAACTCTCGCCCTCTATAATTACATTCTACTTGTTCCATGTGTATTCATTTTGTTTTCTACTTTATATCGTGAGCAATTCATGTAGAAACTCTCTAGCTTTAACATTTGTCATGTTTCTCCTAATCTCTTGACTCAGAAGTTAGAATATTTGGTTTTAGACTTAGTTCCACATTTAACTAGCTGTGTGACTTTCACCACATTACTCAATCAGTATGGAACTTTGCTTCCTCATTTGAAAACTGGAGATATTGCAAAAGAAGACCCTTAGTGTCCCTCCCATATTTAAGATTTTAGGACTTGATGAGAGTCTTCAAAAAAATCATGAAAAATGCATATAATAAAAAACCTATGCAAGTTTTCAAAAATTTTTTGCACCAAAATAATTTCTTAGTAACTTGTTATAACATGGCTAAACACAATCCAGCTTGAGGCACTAAGAAAAATAAGACATCAGTTTGAAAAGAGCCCCCTGGCCAGGCACGGTGGCTCACCCCTGTAATCCCAGCACTTTGGGAGGCCAAGCAGGGCAGATCACGAGGTCAGGAGATCGAGACCATCCTGGCTAACATGGTAAAACCCTGTCTCTACCAAAAATACAAAAAATTAGCCAGGCATGGTGGTGGGCACCTGTAGTCCCAGCTATTCAGGAGGCTGAGGCAGGAGAATCATTTGAACCCGGGAGGCAGAGGTAGCAGTGAGCAGAGATCATGCCACTGCACTCCAGCCTGGGTGACAGAGCGAGACTCCATCTCAAAAAAAGAAAAGAAAAGAAAAGAAAAGAAAAGAAAAGAAAAGAAAAGAAAAGAAAAGAGCCCCTATCAGAGCAACATGCATTTTGCTAACATTAACCCAAGAACAAATATCATAATTAAGGTGCAGTTTGGATGGAAGAATGGTGAAGTCATTGATGCTTTATGAAAAGTTTATGGAGACAATGCCCCCCAAAAATCCATTTCCAAGCGGATAGCTTGTTTTAAGAAGGGATGAGATGTTTTAAGAAGGGACAAAGGCTATAGGGGCAGACCATCCACATCCATTTGCAAGGAGAAAATTAATCTTGTCCCACCCAAACAGTTTTGATGGAGAATCATTAGGCATCCACCTTACAGTCCTGATTTGGCTTCTTCTAACTTCTTCTTGCTTCCTAATATTTAAATAGCCATAAGGGCACCTATTTTTCCTTAGTTAATAATATAAAAAGGACTGCAGTGCCATAATTAAATTCCCAGGACCCTCAGTTATTTAGGGATGGACTAAATGGCTGATAGTATTGCTTACAAAAGTATCTTGACCTTGATGGAGCTTATGTTGACAAATAAGGCATGCGATAGCGATAGACTTGCAGTGCTTATGCTTGCATTAAATATTATAAATATAGCTACTGTCAAGACAAGATAGATAATTAAGGTTTGGATAGTAATATTTGGGTTATATGTTAAGATTGCAATCATTCAGCCCATGTGAGCAATTGATGAACAGGCTAAGATTTTTTGCAGTTGCCTTTGGTTGAGTCCTCAGTCCCCTACTAGAACAGATAATGTTGCAATTGCTACTAAAATGTTTAGGTCCATTGAGAAGAAAATTTGAAATATAATGGAGATAGGGGCTAGTTTTTGTCATGTAAGAAGGATTATACCAGATGTTAGTGAAATTCCCTGGGTTACTTCTGGGACTAAAAAGTGGAAGGGAGATATGCCTAATTTTATTGTTAAGGCTATTAATATTATTAAAGATGCTACTTGATTGATTGAGTTTATGATTATTCATTGTCTGGAGCACAGTATATCAGTAATAACACCTGTTATGAGGATTATGGATGCAGTTGCTTGTGTAAGAAAATATTTGGTAGCTGCTTCTGTGGAGTGAGGGCTTGCTTTTTTATAGAATTGGGACAATGGCTAATATATTTATTTCCATGCCCATTCAGTTGAGAAGTCAGTGTAAACCTATTATTGTGATGACAGTTCCTGTAAAGATAGTGAAAGAGATGATAAGTTGGGTTACAGGGTTGATTAGTGTGAGAAAGTGTATAAACCAAGATTTTTGGGATATGGACCCTATAGCTTATTTAGCTGACCTAACTATAGGATATGATGTATTAGGTAGCATGGAGAATTTTTGATTCTCAGGAATACACTCAACTCCTATAATTCTAGAAATAAGAGGGTTTAAACCTCTATTATTTACTCTATCAGAGTAACTCTTTTATCAGACATATTTCTTATGTTTGAGGTGGAATACTAGATATTATGATGGGCACAGAGATACGTTATTTGCAAAGTGCTAGTGTGAGTAGTGAGAAGTTTTTTCACAATATATGAGCTGATCATAATGAAATAGAGGGTATGATGCTGGAATTCATAAAAAAAGGGTCGTTAAAAGGAGGGTTTTGCTGACAAAATTTATGGTGTAGAGTTCTGGTATATGAATATCATATACTGCTCCTAGGAAGATACTAGTGATTAGTGCATTCATTATAATGATATTTATATATTTTGCTATAAAGAACAGGGCAAATGGACCTGAGGCATGTTCAACATTAAATCCCAAGACTAATTCCCCTTCTGTTAGGTCAAATGGGGCTTAGTTAGTCTCTGCTAGGGTGGAGATGTATCATATTATAGCTAGAGGTCATGATGGTAGGAGTAGCCAAATAAACTCTTGTGTTACGATGAATGTGGGTAAATTAAATGAGCCACTTATCAAAAGAACTGACAGGAGGATAATAGCTAGGGTAATGACATATGAAGTTGTTTGGGCTACTGCTGGTAGTGCGCCAAATAGCGCATATTTTGAATTGAATGCTCATCCTGATCCTAAGATAGACAGCTAGGCTTGATGTAGCTAGTATAAATAAGGGACCTATATTAAGATTAAATAGGGGGTATGGTATGGGGAGGGGGATTCATACAAAGAGTGCAATACGTTGGAGCAATACTATATGGGGAATGACAGATGCTAATGGTCATAGTGGTTCTTTAATAAAAAGTTTTATTGCATCTGCAAAGGGTTGAAGTAGTATGTACTGACCTACACTGTTAGGTCCTTTGCAGAGTTGTATACAACCTAAAATTTTTCTTTCAATTTATTTGAATGAAATAAATAAATTATTTTAATTTCATTTTCCTTGAACTTTTTAAAATCCCTTTATATAATCTACGTTTTCTTTAAGTTCTGAAATTTGATGTGGATTTTCCCATGAAAATCCATTACATTTGTTTTGTACCTTTACTACAGTGTCAAGCACACTCTCTCCCGCAACAATTACAAAGTACAAAAAAAAACACAATAAATGTTTGCTGTTTTATGGTGAATAACTTCACTTTAGGGTGAATAGCTTCTAGAATGCCAATTAAGGTTCTTAAAAGAATCAAGTCTAATATCGCCTCTGTGTATTCATAAATGTTGCATTGGTTTAAGCCACAAAATTATGAGAGAAGAGACTGTTCATTGGTTTGTTCATTTATAGCAGGTTGATGGTGAAATACATAGTTCTGTCTTAATGCCGCAGTATATTGATATGAACACACATATTGCCTATCTCTTCACCCATGCATTTGAACAATCATAGATCAAATGGCATCTAATCCATGAATCGTTCTCCCTCTCCCCTACATGGTCCTTTTGAAGCCAGTGTAAGGTAGACCTGTTTCTGCGTGACTTTTGAGTTCCATTTCAACAGCCCTGCTTGAAAATCCAGTTACTATGGTGATATGTACCACTGCAAATAATCTCCTCCTCAACAACTGAAGTTATACCCTACTCAGTAAAAGTGGTATCTACGGCTTAATGGTTTAGCAAAAGGCTGACAGATCTATGGTCTTATTTCCAACTGAGAGATTTTTAATAAGTAGTTTGAGCTCCTGGAATCTGAGAAGACTAAACAGCCTCTGTCTAAATTTAGCAGGATCAATCTTAAAGGACATTTCCTGGACGGATCAAATACTATATTCATCAGAATATGCTGTATCAGCATGCCGCCATTTGACCCTTTTCTGAGGCAGGAGACAAAAACAGACTGTCCCCTGAGTCTTTCAAAAGAAAAGAAAACTGACATCCAGGGAATGGACACCTCTCCCCAGTGTGATTCTCCTGTCAAAGGCCCCCATCAGTCCAGCCCCAACTCAGCCAGGTGCTCCCCCAGCAGGTCTCCCACCAGCACTTCGAGGCTGTGGTTTTAGCTCTTACTCTCTAAAAAGGTAGGGCCAGTGGCAGGAGGGCATGTTTTCTATCACTGCTGAGATGTGATCTTCTTGGCATTCTGGTGGCATTTCCAAATGCATTTTCCTTAAATAAATATTGTTCTAGACAAAGATTAGGTTCAGTAACAGCATGTGTCAGAGGCTATATAGGATTGGAGTTGACTTGCACATTAATACCCTCTATGTTCTATTTATATGACAAAACCATAATGCATTCTCAGTTCTGGACAACTGTCTTAAAGTAGAACTTTTGTAAAACAAATTGTTATATTATATAACTTTGTAAACTGCTAAAATGTGAATACTTCAAAGGATAGAAATGGCCTCCTTCTTCATATGCATCCAGCCTTCCTAGCATAATAACAGGCATAATGCTTAGTAGTGTTTTGGGTGGTGAATGAGTGGGTAAGACATTAATAAATTTAATTCAAAAGTCTTCTGTATGGGAACATTTTAAAATATGTGACATGTATTTATCACAGTTCATCTTCAGCTGTTTTTGGGAGAGATGTTCCCAAAGCCTAGGTGTAACCACTAGTCAAGCCCTCCCATAAAGGCACTAACAAATAAGGAAAACAAGAAAGCTATGTGTTAATAAAGTGAACCAGTTAAGAATTATTATTACAATCTCAGACTGCAAATTAACAGGGTCACAGTCTGCAAATAAGAACATCTGATGACATAAGCAGTAACATCCTAAATTCATATCTGCTCTGGGGTAACTACACAGCTTGAGGCAAAATGCAGCCTGCTGGCAATTCTCCGGTGTGCACCGTTGGTGATAAGGCTGAATCAGCAAATATTTTTATCATTAGATCCTTCTACCTTGGAGACTATGGTTTTAATTGTGATCTCTATTTGTAATTACTAATCAAAATGTTATGAACCAAATCATTATCTCTTAATAATATGGCACTATATTTTTCACTCTGATAAAAGATTTAGTCCTTTGCTCTGTGTGTGTGTGTGTGTGTGTGTGTGTGTGTCTGTGTCTTTGTGTCTGTGTGTGTTTGAGGTTGGCTACAAAGTCTCAGTTAACCATGAGTCATTGTTTATTTGAAACCCTTCCTTGATTGCTAAGTTGTAAATAACTCCAGATCAAAATGCTGAGAAACTCATTACCTAAGCTCAGTGGACATTTTCCTGCCTCATTTAGAGATGATCACAGTTTCTTTTAATCT